>NC_000012.12:37460128-37611643 GCF_000001405.40 Homo sapiens
TATATACCATACATATATACACCATACTATATATATACCATACATATATATTCACCATACATATATATATACACACACATACACATATATACACCATATATATATATATATATATATATATATATATATATATATATACACACATACACCATATTTTCTTTATCTGTTCATTTGATGATGGACTTTTAGATTGTTTCTAATTTTTGGTTATTGTGAATAATTCTGTAATGAATATGGGAATGCAAATATCACTTCAAGAACTTGCTTTCAATTATTTTAGAATTATTCAATTATTTTGGAAAAATGCCCACAAGTGGGATTGCTGCATCATATGGTAGGTCTATTTTTTAATGTTTTGAGGACCCTCCATACTGTTTTCCATAGTGGCTCTACCATTTTACATTCCTACTGACAGTACATAAGGTTCTAATTCAATTTCTCCACATCTTCATCAACACTTGCTATTTTCTTTTTTTAAAAATGATCATACAGTTATGAGGTGATAAACCCTGTTGTGATTTTAATTAGCATTTCCCTGATGATTAATGATGTTGAGTATCTTTTTATATCCCTGTTTGTCATTTGCATGTCTTCCTGAAAAATATCCATTTAAGAATTTGGCCATTTTAAAAGTGGGTTATGTGTTTATTTGCTTTTGAGTTATAGGTGTTTCTTATATATTTTGGATATTAAGCCCTTAGCAAATATATGGTTTTCAAATATTTTCTCCAATTCTATAGGCTGCCTGTTCATTCTGTTGTTTCCTTTTTTGCACAGAAGCATTTTATCTTGATTAATCACCCTAACCTATTTTTGCTTTGGTTGCCTGTGCTTTTGGTGTCAAATCCAAGGAATTATTGTCACGAAAAATGTGATAAAGCCTTTCTTTATGTTTTCTTGTAGGAGTTTTACAGCTTTAGTTCTTACATTTAAGTCTTCAATCCATTTGGAGTTAACATTTGTGAACAGTGTAAGATAAGGGTTCACTTTCATTCTTTTGCATATGGATATCCAGTTTTCCCAACAATATTTGTTGAAGAAATTATCCTTTCTCCATTGCATAGTTTTGGCACCCTCGTCAAAGATCATTTGACTATATGCACGTGGGTTTATTTCTGGGCTTGCTTTCTTTCTTTTCTTTCTTTCTTTCTTTCTTTCTTTCTTTCTTTCTTTCTTTCTTTCTTTCTTTCTTTTTCTTTCTTTCTCTTTCTTTCTTTCTTTCTTTCTTTCTTTCTTTCTTTCTTTCTTTCTTTCTTTCTCTCTTTCTTTCTTTTTTGAGATGGAGTCTTGCTCTGTAACCAAGGCGGGAGTGCCGTGGTGTGATCTTGGCTCACTGCAACCTCTTCCTCCTGGATTCAAGCGATTCTCCTACCTCATCCTCCCGAGTAGCTGGAATTACAGGTGCCCATAACCATGCCCAGCGAATTTTTGTATTTTTTCATAGAGACGGGGTTTCACCATGTTAGCCAGGCTGGTCTTGAACTCCCAACCTTAGGTGATCTGCGCGCCTTGGCCTCCCAGTGGGCTTTCTATTCTGTTCCACTAATCCATTCTGTTCCATTCATCTATATGATTAGTTTTACATTAGTATCACACTATTGGGATTGCTGTAGCTTTGCAGAATATTTCAAAGTCAGAAAATGTGAGGCCTCTAACTGTTTCTCTTTCTTGGGATTTTTTGGATATTCAGGGTCCGTTATGGTTCCATATGGATTTTAGAACTGTCCTTTCTATTTCTCTGAAATTATCATTGGAATTTATACAATTCCAAGGGATTACATCAAATCTGTAAATTGCTTTGGCTAGTATTAGAATTTAAAAATATTCTTTCAATTCATGAAAATGAGATGGCTTTCCATTTACTTGTGTCTTCCTTAATTTATTTCAGCAATATTTTGCAGTATTCAGTGTACAAGTCTTTCCCCCACCGGCTAAGTTTATTCCAAAGTATTTTATTCATTTTGATGCCAATGCAAATGGATTGTTTTCTTAATTTCCTTTTCAGAATGTTTGCTGTTTGTGTTTTTTTGAACCTTTATTTTGAATCCTGCACCTTTACTGAATTCATTTTATTAGTTCTTAGAGCTTTTTGTTGAATCTTTAGGGTTTTTTTTATATATAAGATGATGTTTTCTGTGAATAGAAAAAATTTTACTTCTTCCTTTCCAATTTGGATACCTTTTATATCTTTTTCTTGCTTAATTATTTTAGCTAGGACTTTATGTACTTCATAAAGGCATCCTTGCCTTGTTCCTGATCCTGATCTTAGAATAAGGGATTTCAGTTTTTCTTCATTAATATGATGTGAGCTGTGGGTTTTTACATATGGCCTTTATTGTGTTGGAATAATTTCCTTCTATTCCTATTTTTTCAAGTGTTTTTCTAACGAGAGAATGTTGAATTTTGTCAAATGCTCTTTCTCCATCTACGGAGATGGACACGTTATTTAATTGTTTTCTTAATGTGGCATATTATATTGATTTTCACATGTTGAACCCTTCTTGCATTCCAGGAAAAAATCCATCATAATTATGGTGGATGATACTTTATAGTGCTGCTGAATTCAATTTGCTGGTATTTGTTGAGGATTTTGCATGTACATTCATTAGGGATATTTAATTTTTTTTCTTGTAGCACCATTGTCTGCCTTTGATATTAGGGTTATGCTAGCTTCACAAAAAGAGTTTAGAATCGTTCTTTCTTCTTTAATTTTTTAGAAATGTTTGAGAAATATTGGCATTAATTCTTCCTTAAATGTTGGCAGAATTCTCTAGTAAAGTCACCTGTGCCTGAGATTTTCTTTGCTGGAAGATTTTTGATTACTAATTTAAACACCTTACTAGCTATAGATTTGTTCATATTTTGTATTTCTTCTTGGTTCAGTGTTGTGGGTTGTATATATCCAGTAATTTGATTTTTTTCTAGGTTATCCAATTACTACCATAATCATTCACAGCAGTCTCTTATAATCTTTTTTTTATTTCTGTGGCATCAATTGCAATGTCTACTTTTTCATTTTTAATTTTATTTGGTTGAGTCTTTTCTCTTTTTAATTGCCATATTCTCTTGTATAGTAATACCACAGGTTTTTTTAATCTATTCACTTGCATTTGTTCTACTTTCTGGTTATAATGAAAATATGTGTGTGAAAATATCCTTTATTTGCATTAATCTTTATTATTTCCTTCCTTTTGCTGGGTTTGGGCTTAGTTCTTCTTTTTTAGTTCCTTGAGTTGTAAAGTTAGGTTGTTTATTTGAGATCTTTCTTCTTTTTTAAGGTAGGTATTTATTGCTATAAATTTCCCTCTTTAGTACTGCTTTTGCTGCATTTCTAAGTTTTGCTATGTTGTGTTTTTTTATTTTTTTGTCAGCTTGTTTTCTAATATTCTTTTTGATTTCTTCTTTGACTCATTGGTTGTTCAATAGTATGTTGTTTAATTTCCATATATTTGTAAATGTTTCAGTTTTCCTTCTACCATTGAATTTTTGCTTCATCCTACTTTTGGTCAAAACAGGTTCTTGATTTCCTTTGTCTTAAATTTGTTAAGACTTGTTTTGTGACCTAACATGTGATCTATCCTGGAGAATGTGTCAGGATATGTCACTTTGCCAGATAATTTATATACCTCCATTTTTGAAGGGTTGATATTTGGAAACTTATTTTCTTCCTTTTATTGGGCCATGTTTCCCTGTTTCCTAGTGTGCCTTTTAATTTTGTGTTGCGATTCTAGGATTTGAAAAAAAATAACCACTTCTCCCTGTCTTTACAGACTGGTTTTCACTGGGAAATCCTTTCACCAGTCAGCCCAGTTAGAGATTCTGAAGTATGTCAAATCTTTCTGTGAATGCATTGTCTCTGGAATTGTGTGTAAATTCTTAGAAAAATTTGCAGATCTTTCTTCAGGAGCATGTAATCTCTTGCTCTCTTTGTTATCTATCTGTAGAACTGTAGGTTATCTGGAGTTGCTATAACCCCCTAGCTCTCTTTTGTTCTCAGCAGTCCTCAGACATCAAGAGCGTCCAGTCAGACAGAAAACAGTCTGTCAGGCTGACTGGGAAAAGTTGGAATTCTGGATGCACACTCCAGCTTTTTCCTTCTCCAAGGGGAAGCCAGGAGTTGAGGGTTTTCTCCCACTCATTGCGTCTTGATCCAAGGAAGGATGGTATGATAAGTGAATGTATGCTAACCCAAACTTCCCCAACTCATTTGTTCTTAATATCCCCAACCTGGAAAGCTTTCCTGTTAGCGCTTAAATTCAGGCAAGACAGAAAACAATCACTTGGAAACTCCCCTGAAGTCTGAACACTGAATGTGTGTTTCAGCATTCTCTTTCACTTCTGTGGGGGAATCAGGAACTGTAGAGTATTCTCCCAATCTTGTTATACTGAGTCACAGGAGGAATGATGGTGGATTGAGTGACAGTCCAAACGGTGGCTTTATCAGCAGGCATGCAATCTGGCATCCTTTCCTTTTAGCACTTAGATTCAGCATAGATAGGTGCTAGTGCCCTCCCAAAAAGTCAAAATGCTGGACATATGGTCTAGACTTTTATTTCTCTTCCTAGAGATGAGCTGGGAGTTTGGAGCTTTCTCTCTATTGTGTTGTACTGCTGAGGGATGATGAGTGAGTGCAACAAATTTACCTGTTGGTTTAGATGTGCCTGGCTTGAAGCCTACCAGGGAATCCAGAGTCTTTAAATTCACCTCTGTACTTGTTACAAAGGGGATTTATCTGTGTATTATTGTCGAGCTGGTGTCTCCTTGGAGAGGAGGGTGGAGGGGCTTTGAGGCTTTCTATTGCATCATCTTGCTGGTGTCCTGACAGGAATTTTAAACTGGGCTCCTTTCCCCACATTGTTGGAGAATGGATCCTGGCTGATTATAGGTACTCATGAAATACTGGATAAATTATTATTTATCATTTACTTACAAATACTTCAAATTTTTATTATGGGAAATAAGTTTTTAATCACTATTAAAGTTTGTTGAAGCACTAATTCATTACTGTGAAAAGTGGGGAGGGGAATAAAAATCAAGCTTTTGTCTATTTCTCTTGCTTTTCCTGTCCAAACTGTGTTTTGGTGTAATCAATAAACATTTGAGAGGAAATGTTCTTTTAGAAATTATTCCAGCTAATAAATGAAGAAAAAAATGAAAGAATGTAGTACCCTGTTATAACACCTAGTAAAATAATGGTTGAAACAAGTTTTCTAATGAATGCTAAAACTATTAGTTGAAAAGTTGATGCAAACCTTTACTGTGGAGGAATGTAGCTGACATTAATTTCTTATCTGAATTACATTTTTGAAACTTTATGACTCTTTGAATTTAAAAGGGATTTTGGTGTCATTATTTTTTCTTTTACAGTCTCTTTTTTCACATAAAAATCAACTATTAACTGATTGGTTTTATGGTCTTTTGGAAAGAGACTATATAAATTCTGCTTTTTGTATGAAGATCTCTTTTACATTGTCAGAGGAAATTTTATCTCTGGTAAGCTCTAATTTCATCTTTCAATTTTATTTTGAATTTCTTTCTTTGTCTTTTGTTTTATCAGCACCTTGTTTAATTTAAAATAGATTCAATGTCAACAGTCAAGGAGTTAACTCAGGAAACTAATTTATCCAGAAATACAAATATTTTTGCATATATTTTATCCTTTGTTTTAGATCTTTAATATGTAATTTCTAAAAATGAAATATGGACAGTTTGCTTGATTTCTGAGCATAGTCAATGAATAATTTTACCAAAATAAGAAAACATTTTTCGAGGTTTTTTTTTTTTTTTTTTCCTTGAGACTGAGTCTTGCTCTATCACCCAGGCTGGAGTGGGGTGGTGTGATCTTGGCACACTGCAACCTCTGCCTTCCAAGTTCAAGCAATTCTCCTGCCTCAGCCTCCTGATTAGCTGAGATTACAGTTGCCCACCACCACACCCAGCAAATTTTTTGTTTTTTTATTAGAGACGTGGTTTCACCATGTTGGCCAGGCTGGTCTCCAACTCCTGACTTCAAATGATCCGCTCACCTCGACCTCCCAAAATGTTGGGACTGCAGGCGTAAGCCACCACGCCCGGCCTGGAGCATTTTGATATAATGAATTACTGGGGAAACCTTTTAATATAATATTAGACAGCCCATTTAAAAAGAATCCAGTATAATTATTATATTCTTTATATGACTACATTTCACAGTGAAGTAACTTAGCACTCTGTATTTATAATGCTTTGAAAATACATATTAGTTGCTGATTTTATATTCCAAACAGAAATTATAGGACACCATATTATATAAACACAAGAATTCAATATTAATTTTCACACTTTAAAACAATAATCTTGGCCCTGAGCAGTGGCTTGAGCCTGTATTCCCAGCACTTTGGAAGGTCGAGGCAGGCGGATCACAAGGTCAGAAGATTGAGACCATCCTGGCTAACACGGTGAAACCCCGTCTCTAATAAAAATACAAAAAAAAAAAAAAGTAGCCGGGCGTAGTGGCAGGCGCCTGTAGTCCCGCTACTCGAGACGCTGAGGCAGGAGAATGGCATTAACCCAGGAGGCTGAGCTCGCAGTGAGCCGAGATGGCGCCACTGCACTCCAGCCTGGATGACACAGCGAGACTCCGTCTCAAAAAAAAAAAAAAATCTTTTCAATTTTTAAAATTTTTCTCAAACTACTCATCAGAGAAATTTAACATCTCCATTTACGTTTCTATGATGTTATACAGAAATATTTTATTTCTTTCCCCAGAATAATATAGGCAAAATCTCTCCTTCTGACTATACACACCTGGTATTGTTATTTTATTTAAGGGTTTCTATCTCTTCCTATTCTGAATGATTACTGTCTTTTTGAGCTTTCTTGCAGTAACCACTTTAAATAGTCTCTAGACAACTTTCTAGATTCTAGGATCCACATTAATCTTCCTGCTGTTGCAGCTTCTGTCTTCTCCAAGAGTCTAGCTTTTATGAGAACAAAATAGTCATATCTTCTTTAAAGAAGAGTTTCCAGTGTAAAGACTAAAATTTAAGTTAATTGTAAATGAAAGACTCCAGTTAGAGGAGAAAATATTTCATTTTAAGATGAATGTTTCAGAACACAATTACTACATTGAACATGACTCTCACTATAGCCACATTAATTACGTCTATTTCAATTTAAGGAGACACAGCAACAAATCTTACCTCTCTGAAAAGAAATCAAATCTGAAACGTGGAGAAGTATGAGTCCTGACCAAGAGATTTTCTTGGAAGACATAGATTGACTTATAGCAAATATTATCTGAAGTAGTAAAATCTTATACTTTATTTTTATAGAAAACAGACAATAAAAATCTTTCTAAATTAATGCATAGGTACTTTTGTAAAAATAACATAAAAATATCTGATTAACTTAGATACATAAGTTCAAGTTCCAAAATAAAGAATGAGAGTTTATAGTTTGTCTGACTTTTATTCTTTTCAATCCATAATTAATTCCATAGATAGAATAATTTATAATGTAACTTTAATCATTACATCCTTTGATCAAAAATATACAAATATTCTTAATTTTTCTTCTCATATTTACTTAAATTATTTTTCATCACTTTAATATTTCTTTATTCACTGGTCCCAAAATAGTTCACTAAGTTTGGTATTTCTTGGTTTTGTAAAAAATTTCCCAATTCAGCTCCTAAGTACAATTAGTACTCTTCTCTCCTCTTCCTTTGTATTCTTTTTAGGTCCAACCCCATGGCTTTCCTTTTGTACTCTCTAGGCCAAGAATGTTCTTTCTTCTTCCTACCATTTAACCATTATTCATTTTTCATGGCTGTATTTGTCCGTTTTCACACTGTCATAAAAGACTTTCCTGAGACTGGGTAATTTATAAAGGAAAAAAGGTTTAATTGACTCACACTTCTGCATGCTGGAGAAGCCTCAGGAAACTTACCATGATGGTGGGAGGAGAAGCAGACACATCTTCTATGGTGGCAGGCAAGGGAGAAAGTAAGCATGTGAAGGAGGAACTGTAAAACACTTATAAACCAATCAGATCTCTGGAGAACTCAACTAATTATCATGAGAACAGCATGGGGGAAGCTGCTCCTATGATCCAATCACCTCCCACCAGGTTCCTTCCTTTACACGTGGGGATTACAATTCAAGATGAGATTTGGGTGGGGACACAGAGCCAAACCATATCAATGGCCAAAATAATATATATATTTCTTTTCTCATCTATTCCTGACTAGGTCCTTTCTGAATTTTTTCCATACTTTCAACCTGCCCCACAAAAGGCAGCACTTACTCGTATTTCTTATCCTGTTATTTAAAAATTAATTTTGCTTGAGTTTGAGAATAATAGTCAATAGGCAGGGGACAAACAGGCCATCAACAGCATCCTTTATTTTGACAGAAATTATTCTGAATCAAACTTACCTTGTCATGGGTATAATTACATGATCTCAAAAAGAATTAAAAATCTCTATCACTTGAACCACAGTTTCCCTTAGCATATTTAATATACTTCATTTTTGTCAGCTAACAAATGTCAGCTAATATTTTTACCATCAAGAAGAATATCCTTTGGCAAAAGTATCTCTGTTTCATTAGTACATATTGAGAGAGTTGGACACTATGGCTTCCCAACTTGCTCAGGAATGCGGAAGCTAGGGTACCCTGATAGGTAATCTTCTGTTTTGATACTTATATCCTGACTGTACACAGTGTCAAATCTGGGTCTTGACCTAGCAGGCAAACATTAACACAACATGAAGGAAGGAAAAAGTCATTTATGAAACTACAATGGCTGCAGTAGTTATTTGGTAGTCCTCTTTTTAAAAATTTCCTTTTAATTGAAATGAAAGTTTATAAGTGATCATACTGTAAATGATATAACATTTTATAATGTTTTATTAAAAAACCCAAACACTCCAGGAGTGAATTAAATGTAAATTGAAATCTCCCTCTCTCTACAATCCCACTTGCCTCATCATTTCCTCTATTCCTTAGAAATCCACCGACAACAATTTAATTAGAACTCAAATACTGTCACTCATAAAACGCGTATGTGTACTTTTTTTAAAAATGGGATTATGCTAATTATGATTTGTAGTGACCTGATATTTCATTTGAAAATACATTGGATATCTTGCCATCATTTAAAATGACTGTAAAATGTTAATTTTAACCAGCATTTTTATAAAACATATCTATTGAAAATTTAAGTCATTACCATCTTTGCATTTTTTATAAACTTGTATAATGAACAGCTTTGCAAATATTAGTTAGCACACTTGTTCAATTATTTAATAGAGATCTAATCTGAGGAGTTGAGAATTTTCAACTCTTTCTCAGGACCATTCCTTTGGAGTGATTTTGTAAATGTAGGTTATTTTTGGTTGTATCAATGATGGAGACATGACAAGCACTTACAAGTAAAGGGTAAAGATCACATGCAGCATGCATTGGGCCAAACAGTGCATTGAGACAAACAGTCCTATATAAGGAAGAATTGCTTCGTATGAAGGCCCAATAGTACCTCTTGGAGAAATATGGCAACGTGTAGCATTTCACTGTCTACTTTAAGAAATGTTGCACTATTTGTGCATTTTACAATAAATATCTATTGATCTTATAATCTGCAAAACAATATACTATTATTTAAAGTTCTTTTTTGTTTTGTTTTGTTTTTGTTTGTTTTTTTGAGACAGAGTCTTTCTCTGTCACCCAGGCTGGAGTGCAGTGGCACAATCTTGGCTCAATACAACCTCCACCTCTGGGTTTGAGTGATTTCTTTTGCCTCGGTTTTGCAAGTAGCTGAGACTACAGGCACATGCCACCATGCCCGGCTAATTTTTGTATTTTTGTGTTTTTAGTAGAGAAGGGGTTTCACCATATCGGCCAGGCTGGCATTGAACCCCTGTCCTCAAGTGATCCACCCACCTTGGCCTTCCAAAGTGCTGAGATTACAGGTGTGAGCCACCATGCCTGACCTATTATTTTAAGGATTTAATCTTCTCCCATCCCAACAGCAATGGAATTTTTCAATAAATCCAAAACATTGTTTCTTTGAAAAGACAAATAAATTAGATGACAAAAAAGAGAGAGCCTATTAAAATATAACAAGAAAAATGGAAAACTGGATAATTGAAAATTTCAAAAGAATGCAATATGTACCTTTTGGTCATTATATTTGAAAATATATATGAAGAGGTTAATTTTTTAGGGAAAATTTAACTATAAAAATAAATCTAGAGAAATGAGAACATTTGAAGATACCAACAACAGAAAAAATGAAACCGGTGTAAAGTTATAGCACCTTTAAAAGCTCAAGGCCCAGCTGTGTCTCAAGCAGGTCCTCTTAAACTTAATGGAAAAGTTAATTCCTGTGTTGTTCAAACTACTATTTTGGTTAATGGGAGCAAAGGAAGCATATCTCTCCCTCCATTTATTTCTTAAAACAACTGAAAACCAAAAGAAAAATCAGTGTACAAAGAAAAGAAACTCCACCAATTTTGTTAAAAATAAACACCATTAAAAATTATAAACCAAACTTTGAAGACTAGTTGTTAGTTCCATAACAATTTAGACTTTCTTCAAACAATGGTGAAGGTAGATTCAGACACCTGAGCAAATATGGCATGTTAAACACATAGAGAGACTAATTTTCCCACCTGAAACTATAACATGATGGCAAATGGCTTATTCAAGTGATATGAAAAGAAAACAGCAACATTTTTGAAAATAGGAAGTCCATAAATGGCTGGTAACTGACTTAGCTTACCAAAAAGTGCAAAAGTGTAAGTAGCGGGGAAATCTGATTCTACAAAATGTTCATAAATTGGTTGCATGGGATACCTCTGAAAGTAGAAGTAAAGGTAGGGCTAAAACCCAGGAAGATTGGTTGAAAGACTGTTTCCAATGCCCGCGCCATCAAGCCTCATTAATGCCTCTAGGTTCTGCTGGTGGAAAAGTAGACATTTACAGTCTAGAGAGGTAACAGGGAATCTTAGCACAGGCAATATCATCTTCAAAGGTCATACATAAATTAGGGGGGCAAAATGAACAGTAACTACTGAAAGCTAGATCTCCCCAATTTTCACCTCTATCTAGATTCAAAACATAACAGTCTATTAGTCTTATATCCTCAGAGAAGACTGGAAGACTCTAGTTGGAAGATCATGATCAGCCCAAAGGAATAGACCAGTGGATATGTCATGAGGAGCTTTTCTGGGAAAACTTCTCGACCTGATTGCCCTGTCTGGAAGCCACAGTTGACAATTATTACCTAAGAACCTGAAGCTTACCATAAACATTTATTGTATTGCTCTTGAACACAAACAGATAACCAACAATCATGAGATTCTAGGTACAGCCAATAACAAACAAACACAGAAACAAAAAATAAACAAAAAAACTGAAAGTAAACAGAGTCTATACAGTGTGGGGAAAAAGTAATCATTAATTTCCTCAGAGAGGGAAGATAAGATAATACAACAAGGACAAGGTGTGATATAAAATGGATATTCAAAAAAATAGAATTCTTAAAATTTAAGAAATTTATTGCAGAAATATATAACTTAATGGGAGATTTGGAAGGTAAAGCTGACTGCATCTCCAGAAAAGTTAGTGTAAACAGAGTTGGGAATGAGAAAGGGAAAGTTTAATGAATTAAATAATTGGTCTTATAGGGCCAGCAACAAAATAAAGGCATTTGGGAAAAGAAAAAAGTACAATGAAGTATGATATATGTAAATAATTTTTTGAAATGGGTAAGAGTTAAAGTGTATGAATTTCAGATTGAATGGTCCACCAGAATTCAAGCCAGTGGTGAAAATAGACCTAGACCAACACACACACACACACACACACACACACACACACACACACATCAGCACACTCCAGAAAAAAAAAAAAAAGACACTTCAAATTTCCAGATAAGAGAAATAAAAATGGTCACTAGAAGCCAAGAAAAGCATTATAAATTGCAAAACAAATTATTTCTAATGCAGAATAGTATCTCCAACCAAACTGTAAATCAGATAGGAGGAAACAATAATAAACATTTACAGCGTGGCAAGATTCTAAAACTCTACATCCAATACATCCTATCTCAGGAATTTACTTGAGAAGAGTTTCACTAAAATGAGGAAGTAAATGAAGAAAGAGTAGGGTATAAAGTACAGGGAATCTCCTGGTTATTAGATGTACAGTATGTGTACACAGCAACCTGTGTAAATTAGAGCTATCTAGAAAAAAAATTTCAAAAAGATAAATCTGATAAAATGTCTAATGCTTCTGAATGCATTAGGAGACTCATTGGAAAACTGGGGTAGAGTTTGGAGTTGGTACTTTGATACATACATAGAAAAATGAACAAAACAAAAATTTTCAAAAATTGTCAGTTTAAGGAAAAAAATGTTGTGTAGAAATGAAATTCAATCATTTATGCTCCATGTTTCAGGTGTGAGTAACATTTACCTAATTATAACAGTACTAGCGTTACTGGAAAAAGAGGTCCCGATCCACACTTCAAGAGTGGGTTCTTGGGCCTCACACAGGAAAGAATTCAAGGTGAGTCACAGAGTACAATGAGAAGACATAGTTTATTGAAAGCTACTGCCTTTTAGATTAGGGCGTCCTCAGAAAGCAAGCGAAGGAATGCACCCTCTTTGTTTTTAGTTTTTCTGTTATAGGAGTTTTGTCTATGTAAAGACTAAATTGAATTGTCTATGTAAAGACTAAATTGGAAACAGAATAACAAGAAGAAGGAATTTATGCATAATCTTCAAATCATGAGGAGTAAAATTCATACAAGACCTATTGCTTAAAGAGTTTCATAGTGGTTACCAGTGGGCATTTTGTGATGTTTATCAATGTGATTCTTGAATGTAAAAAGGACTACTTACAAGATTTCATATTCTGAATTAATATGCAGCATATTATGTTAAATTGCTACCCAATTTAAAAAATTTTTGAGTTTAAATTAGAAATCTTATTGTTCTAGTTATAAATCTAGTGCATTAAAAATTATTTTTAAGGGTGACTTTGATTAATGTTTGGTCCATTTACAACTTAGTTAATTAAACTCCCTTAAAGATTTTAAACTATATTTATAAATTTAATATGTTGAATTATCTTTGTGAACATTTTAATTATTGGACTAACAAATAAAGCCTTCAGAGTACTTAAACAACCCTTATAGAGCTAATAAATTAAACTCACAAAATCATGAATCTTAAATTATCTTCAGTGTTAAACCACAACTGGCAACTTGGTAAAACTGCTTATAATTTCAACTAAAAAAAAAACCCAATATCTAAAATATTCTGTTACACATTTAAAATTGGAATGTAAAATGCTAATCTATATTTAAATACTAATACAATTATAAATAAATATCACATCTCTTAAGTATACATATTATAGTTTTCATATACTTCATCATCTCTAAACTTTTTTTCAATGTTTTCCTGGGATAAAAAAATCATAAAAACAATTACATTCTCTTAAGCAAATGGGGTTATCATATCAGTGAGTTGTGGCTACTTTTTCAGATTGTTTACCTATCAGAGATTTTGACTGGAAAATGAGATCTGGAGCTTCAGATATTCAGGGTAATTGTTTATTTTTCCCTCATTAATATGGGAACAAATTCTAACGTTGTAAAATTTATGTTAATAGAGTTTCCAAGCCCATGAACTCTAAGTGAAATGGCCATGCAATCCATGTTTTCTAGATCCGTGTTGCCTACATCTTTAGCTTGATTTTAATATCTAACCTCCCTACTCTGATTGTTTAGGTACTAGATTAAATTCAAAAATATATTTACTGTATGATTCTTGACAAAGTTCTTTTTATATTCTTCATACCTGGTGAAGTCATAACTTTTCTAGATATTTAAATGACATACACATGTATTATTTAATCTCATGTGTATATCTGATTCTGTGGTCACATTTCCCAAGGCCAGATAAATGACTGTAGCCAGATAGAGGTAGGGCTAGGTGTAAAAAGAGATATTCCCACAGATTATATAGTTGCTGTGTGGAGAAAACTCTCTATGTTTTTCCTCTAGCCTCACACCACAAAGATCAATCAGCAACACAGAAGACTTCTGTGACCGAATGTGTGGGTTTTTTCCTCCATACATACACCAAGGAGCAGATGCCAGCTGAGTGTCCTCTAATTCAGTTCTGACACTACACTGTCTACCTGGAGATAGTGTCAGATCTCACAGGTCAGTCCCCAAGACTGCCCACCCTCAACCTACCAGCCACAAGTCCAGGCCTCTGAACTTCTGACCTACTGGCTTCAAGTTGGGTTCTCCTGACCCCCTCTTTGGGTTTGATTAATTTGTTGGAGTGGCTCACAGAACTCAGGGAAACACTTACATTTCCTGGTGTATTATAAAGGATATTGCAAAGGATATAGATGAAGAGACACTTAGAATAATGCATGGGGGAAGGGAGCAGAGCTTCCATGCCATCCCTGGGTGAGCCACCCTCCAGGAACATCCATGTGTTCAACTACATAGAAACTCATTAAACCCTGTCCTCCTGGATTTTCATGGAAGTTTCATGATATCAGCATTCCTCCCTCCAGGGTATAGGGTGGGACTCTCTCCTGAGATGGTTTTAAGACCCACAACCAGAAAGGCAGGAACATAAAAATGAAAAAAGACCAAGAGAAGGTGAGAGGCCTGCTCCTGAGGCCTAACACACCCAATATTATAACAAAACACTGTAACAAGTGCTAGGGGCGTTATAAGCCAGGAACTGTGGATGAAAACCAATATATATCATAACACCACAGTTGCTGAGAAAATATTCATGGAAAATAGACCTAAATTGATACTGCCTATTGACATAATTTACTTTACTGATCTTTTCCTTCACTATTTTAATAAATAGCTCAGACAATAATGAGTCCCATTCAAAGATAATAATAGAAAAGATACCAGCACTGTGCCTGTGTAACATATATTTCATGTTAGAGAAAAGCAACAAAGACAATATAGTATTAAAAGACAGAAAAAAATTACATGTCACATTGACTATCATTGAATCACAAAGTGAATACAAATTTTTAATGCATTGTTTCATTAAATCAAACTCCCCTTCCTGCACCAACACAACTGCTCTGATGTAAGTGACCTAAAAAGACATAAATAGGTTTTAAAGCAGATATAAGATAAATGCAATATATGTAGTGTGAGCTTAGGGAAAGATAAAAGGGAAAATATCTTTTATCTGAGAAATATATACCACACTAGAAACAGCAAAAATGAAGAATAGATATTATCAAAATTTACTCAAATAAATGGTGTATAAGAAAAAAATCGAGCAAAACAAAATGGAAAAGAATAAATAAATAACAAGGGTAGAACAATATTTATAGTTGGTTGAAGACAGACAAAGCTGACCTAACATGTTACCATGTATATTTTATCCAGTTTTCCAATTTTGTGTTTATTGCTGGAAGGTTATTTTGGTCAGAGTTATTTCACCATATCAGTAAGTATAATTCTCCAAGCTCACACCCCTTGCTTTTTGTATCTTATTTTTTATCCTATTATTACATATTTTATAATATTATATATTCCATACTGAATTATACAGTAAATAAAAATCAAATATGAACACAACAATTTCATAGAAATAGTGAGGTTTTTTTTTTTTAATTAAAGCAGAAGTTCATGACTTGAAAATAGAATGATGCAGTAAAGAAATAAACTCCAGAACTCATTTTATGGAAAAAGTGAAAACAATTTGCAATATTAAAATAATTAATCAGAACCTCAATCCAGATTAAGAAGGAATAGAGAACATATATTAAAATTGGAAGGCAATGAAAATATAATCACAGATATTGATCAAGTAATTAGATAAGATCATTTTCTTAATTTTACACAAATATATTGGTAACCCTGGATTATATTATTTTTTCCATATGAAAATATAAGTGACCAAAATGACAAGAGTTATAAAATCTCAGTATCTTATTAATGCAGAAAAAGATGTTAAAGATATAAAATTCTGAACATTCTCCTCTCAACAAACAGACAAATCAGAAAGCATGAACATTTTCAAGAAGAAATGTATCAAGACATGAAAGTACTGATAACTCAATGCTGTTTAAAGTTTTCCTCTTCTAATTCTAGCTATGACAAGTTAATTTGTATCAGGCCATCCCACCTGGCAAGAACAATTATGAAAGCTGGATAAAATTAATTAAAAATAAGTAGCTATTTAAGGGCTTCTGATAGCAATCAAAGCATCCAGAACTTGAGTGTGTAAGCTCCCAGAAAGAAGAGAAACACACTGAAGTGATTTCAACATTCTCCACAACCTTTCATTTGGATACATTTGCTGAGCTGATAGCCAAGAAGAAAATCGTAGCTCAGAGATTTTAGAAATCTTATAGGCCTGCATAGACAAAGATTGGAATTCATGACTATCATGGTGGCCAGGGCTTGAGAAAGGGCCAGTAGAAACAAAACAATTTCATTTTGTTTTTCCTTCATGGCATTTTCTGATTCTTTAGTTGCAGAAGGTGAGCAACAAAGAAGCTTAGAATAAAATGGAGCTACCTGACTAAAAGGAAGTTAAGCAGACCTCTCAGCAAAAGGATAGACAAAATTGGAGTTCAACAAGGAACAGAGGACCTAGAAATCTCCCTAGGCATTGAGACCCCTAAAAAGCTAATCCCTAGCTGAAAAGGCAAACTAGAAATGCACCAGCTGCCACAAAAACTGAAATCTAGCCTCAAGACATTTCAGCCTGATTGGACCAAGAAGATCTACCTCTAAGCCAGAAGAAAACTACAATTTCTTTGGAGGGAGATCCCATCTAAAGACTTTTTCTCTTAGATCAATGTCTGGCTTTTGATCATAAATAACCAGGCATATCAGTCAGCAGGGCTAAATGATGCATGCACACACATGTTCAGGCACACACAGACAGAGCAAGAGTGACAGTGAGAGGGAGAGGAGAAATCTATAGCTTTAGATGTTTCCATGTACAGAAAATAAAAACAATTCCAAATATATTTATGAATAAATATTGTATTTATAGTAAACTTGACCAAAGCTGAACACATGTGTTCTCTTCCCATCCCTCTCCCTTCGTCTCTCTCATATACACTACATACAATAAAATACAGGTCTATTCCACTAATAAATATTACTGCAAATATTCTAAAGCTGTACTTTACAATTAAAAGTTGCAATCCCATTAAAATCATACTTCACAATCAAGTAGTGTTCATGTTAGTAAGCAAGAATGGATGACTATTAGGAAATAGTTTACTATAATTTATCATGTTAATAGAAAAACAATAATCTCCAGAAACTTCAACATATATTACCAATTAAATAATATTAATAGAATAGTATTATAATGAGAGAGATGTAATTTAACCCAAAATTCAGAATTTATGTGATGATGTTTGGGTACAGGGCCTTTGGGAAGTAACAAGTTTTAGATGATGTCATAAGGGCAGGGTTCTCATGATGGAATTAGTTCCCTTATAACATAGACACCAGAGAGCTTGCTCTCTTTCCCTGCAATGTGAGGACAGAGTGAGAGAACTTGACTGTCTGCAAGAGAACGCTCACCAGATAGCAAACATTCACAGATCCTGATCTTGGACTTTCCAGCCTCCAGATGTGTAAGAAAATACATTTCTGTTTAAACCAAACAGTCTGTGGTATTTTGTGATGGCAGTTCAAGCAGACTAAGACAAGTAATGACACCATTCATAATTGTTCCCATCTACCAGTCACCAAAACAAGTTCTAACAAGATTAAAGAATAAATTCCCCCAAAAGGTAAACTTAAAGCCTGAAAATTAGAATAAATTGTAAATAAAGATTAAAAATATAACTGGAGACAATCAAAAATATATATATCCTAAGGAGATTGTTAAAGCTATATGAAAAATGTAAGCTAAAAATCTCCTTGGAGCACTATTCATAAATCTAAATAATTGTAAATAATAACTGGGCTATGGTTATGTTGATTATGGTAAATCCATATATGTTAACATAATGTGGTAATTTGTAAATGTTTATAAAGCATTTTTGTATATTTGCAAAACAGTTTGAAGTGTCAAATTAAAAATCCTGAATACAAAATTACATGTAAGTTATAATCCCAAGTATGTTTGAAAAAATACATATTAAAATAATGGAAGTAAATGCAACAAACTATTCATAGTAGAATTTTATTTTACAGCAACTCAAAATAATGAAACAAATCCTCTGGCTTACAACTTTCAACTAGGTATTGTGATTTTCTTGCTATTCCATTCAGTAGGATATAGGTGGCATGGTTGTATTCTCAGTTTGTCAGTGTTCTCCTGGCATCATTATTAATAGTGTCCCTATCACTTTCACAAGTTTCCTAGTTTGCAGAATAAATTATATGGTTATCTGAGATATGGGAAATCTAATTTTCTTCCTTCTTCCCCAGTAATAATCTATACAATTCTGGACAACTCACCTATCCATAAAACAATTTGATCTCTACCCTAAAATAGATATATCTCTGCTAGTTAACTTCATAGAAATATTGTAAAGATTAATGAGAAGATGCTTGGAAAATACTTTGAGCTCATCAGAGAAAAGTGCTATGATATTGCCACTAATAAATTTATTTACTAGCTTGCTGAGTAGAAAGTCAAGGGAAATCAAGATTTTGTGGGTATCAGCGACAAAACCAAATCAATCATGCATGTTCTGGCAGCCCGTTTTATATAAGTTCCCCAGAGTATGGTAGCTAGTGAACATAGAACTTCTCCAAAATAAAAAATATATATATATATGAACATAGAACTTCTCTCTCTATATATATTATATATATATAATTAGAAAAATTAGAGACACATAGGCTAAATTTTGACTCTATATAGGCTATTCAATTAGCAGCTATGAGTAAATGTATTGAAATTCTCTTTCTTGGTGAAAATATTGTGTTCCATCAAGCACTAACCATATGGAATGTTTGAAAGTTGAACAAAGACTGTTCATTAAGCTTGAAAGGGACAGATCTGAGCCAGTCAGCACTTTGTAACCTGGCAGTCAGGCCTCAAAATCAAGCCTATTATTTTAGTAGGCCAATTAAGTTTTTTAGAAACTCAGTGGAAAGGTGGCATCTTCATACATTTTCAGCACCTTATAAATTAGGTACTTTTGCCTGGCACTAAAATATCCTTCTTGAACTTAAAAATCAAAATCAATAAATCAATCTACTTCTCAGGCAACAAAGAAGTAGATGAAAGGCAACAATGGGGCAGATTAAACTTCTAGCAATCAATCCCAAATATACAGGAACCTTAGTTTGATTAAGATGACAAAAAAACACCTGGAGGAAGGGCACTCAAGTTTGGCTCATGGTCTCTTTGTTCTTCTTAAAATCTACATCCCTTGCATCAACTACAGTACTATAGCCGATGATTTGAAGTTGAAGCATAATATCTTATTTTTTCTGACATTGCAAATATATAACAGATCACTAAGTTTTTTTTTTTTTTTTGAGACGGAGTCTCGCTCTGTCACCCAGGCTGGAGTGCAGTGGCATGATCGTCACTGCAAGCTCCACCTCCCGGCTTCATGCCATTCTCCTGCCTCAGCCTCCCTAGTAGCTAGGACTACAGGCACCCGCCACCACGCCCGGCTAATTTTTTCTATTTTTCAGTAGAGACAGGGTTTCACCGTGTTAGCCAGGGTGGTCGCGATCTCCTGACCTCAATCACAAAGTTGATTATCTTTTCACTTGTCAAATTCTTACACTGTCTATCTAAAATTCATATCTTGACTTTTCATGTCTGTCTTCAAGAACAAATCATCTCTCTTCCCACTCTCTGTCAATTTGATCTCTTTCTCTTTGCTTTGTTCTGGAGGAGAGAAAGGTGTATCTGTATTATTTTCTTCTTTGTCCGAATTAAACAGCTGTTCTTGGAGACTGGTGAGCAGTTCTTTATGCGAAGGAGAACTAGTTACTTAGTTTTGTACCACTTACAAAAAAAGTAAGAAAATGCTGAAAACCAGTATCTTAAAATGTTCATTTTATTTTAATTAGGGCACAGATATAAGGAAATATTTTTAGTTGAATAAGGAATAAAAATATTTGGTTATAAATCTTCAAGAATATTTATGTCTTAAAATTGTTTTTATATTTCTGTTTCTATGACATTCAAATGGGCAAAATTTTTTCTATAATTTAGACAGATTTACAAATAATTGCATAAATATGTCTAGAAATTGAAAAATTAAAAGAAAAATACAAAAATGAGAATGTGAATTGAACTTGAAAAATACCCTAATTGTGAAAATCAAACTTTCATAATATTATTTTAATGTTTTCTGATTTGCATTTTGGGAATTCTTGCCGTCACTGTGTTTTTTTCCTTAGATTTTCTCTACATACTGTTCACAAAATTCAGTTAAAAACTATTTTAGAGATTGTCTAGGGAAAGGGCTGCATGCTCAGTCATTGACTGTTACTTACATTGGTACAATTAGGAGTATTAAATTTGAGTTCATTGGATTTATGCTTCTCCCCACACAGGCTGACTATTGGTAGCTGTTGCTGCTTGGAATACATATTGGCTTAATTAATCAGTACTATTTGGAATTCTGTGACAATGCAAACTAATTATCAACTTTCCCTGATAAGAGACAATTTTGGCTCCTGATTATTTGCTTTTCCGTACATTTATATAACAGCAATCTCATGAAATCGAGCATTAGACCAGCATGTTATTGATTTGCACGTTAGGCAATTTGCACCTCTGAATTGCTTTCCTTTCTGATATCCTCAGATGCAAAATATTGAAAAAGAGCATGCAGTCAGACCTTTATTTGATTGTTTGATAATTGTTTTTCCTCTCTGTTTCCATTAGCATTATTTGTGGAAGACCATAGCAGTGGGAGTTCTTGTCACAGACATCTTGTGACCTCTGTGTTTGGTAGCTATAGACTGCAATGAGTTTATCTCTTCATAGGGAAAATTGAGAAGAGATTATTGCTACCCACTACCCAAGCTCTGGTTTTCTTTACAAAGCTTCTGCATAAATCACAACTACCTAGCTTCAATGATGGACCTAACTCTTGCTTGGGAGTGTGGCAGCAGAGTTGATGGTCGTGGATTTAAGCTACAGTCTCATCACTAGTTTATTTATAGTAAACACTCTGGGGGTGACTTTTAGTGCTAGATTCTGTGCTAGACTCTGGTGTTGAAATATGTGTCAGCTATGGCCTCAGCTCTCAAGGGATTAGTTGTGTTTGTGTGTATTGTGTGTTTTGAGGGAGGCATTAGGTGTTGGTTGAAAGAATGAAGAAGGGGAGCAAGATTTGAGGAGAAAACAAACATGCACATGTACATGGTTTCATTGAATAATCTGCACTTCTGAATTGTCAATACATCCATCTGATTCAGTCATAATTGAATTAGAATCATCCAGAGCAGCAGTGGAAAACATTGAATATTTTTTTTTCACACTGAAGCCAGAACTCTTGGGTACCATAACCCAGCAATATTGTTTGCTGGCTGTCACTTAAACTCACAAAACACCTATGTTTTATCATCTATAATAAATACAGATACAATATTCTGTTTTATATATATGTATATATCTTGCAAAATTATTGTGATGATGAAAAACGAAATGTAATACACACTGAATGATGCATAGTAGATGGTAAGCACTAAATAAATGGCTATGTAAGCAGTGATTCCGCTCTTTGTTATCTTCATTATTACAATTTCTACATAGGTTTTATTTCAGTGATTTTTATAGTAATGACTTTGCTTATTTTATAGAAATAATTCATGCCAAAGAGTACAAAGAAAACAAAATAAATCACCCCAAATTTTCAGAAACAACCAATGTTAACAGTTGGTAGAATTCATTTGGGTGGTTTTTTTTTTGTTTCTTCTTTGCACTTTTTGGTATTTTTCAAGTTTAAAAGGAATAAGCACATACAATTATTATAATAGCTGTAAAATAGTTATATGTGTTTCAAATTTCATACTCCAAAAAGTTTGGATATAGATGGAAGATGCATAACTATATGTATAGTGAGAGAGGGAGAAATAGCAGAATAGATAAAAAATAATTTTATAATAAAAGAATACTATATCTGCTTTTTTAATTGGAAGTATTAAATTTATCTATGTGACTGCATTATTTCCTAAAAGGTCACATTTAAAAAAAAATTAAAAAACATTAGAACATTGAGTCATTCTAATTTATTTCTTAAATTTTAATATATGTATATCTATGAATAATTTATTCATAAACATATATATGTAATGTCAAATCCTAAGAAAATGTATACACCTTAAAGAATTATCACAAAACAAATACCTCCACAACTACCACTCAGAATAACATTTTTTTTTTGCAAAATAGATTACTACTCCTTCATTTGTCTTCAAAGATACCCACTATTCGGAATTTACTTTTCTTAATGTTTTGATATTTATATACCTACTCTGCGGTAGGCCAATAATGCCTCTGAAAGGCATGTCCAAGTCTTAATCCATGGAGCCTGACCTTATTTGAAGTAGGGCATTTGCAGATGTATTTAAGACATTTGAGGCCGGGCACAGTGGCTCATGTCTGTAATCCCAGCACTTTGAAAGGCCAAGGCAGGTGGATTCACCTGAGGTCAGGAGTTCGAGACCAGCCTGGCCAACATGGTGAAAAGCCCGTATCTACCAAAAATACAAAAGTTAGCTGGGTGTGGTGGTGGTGGCGCCTGTAATCCCAGCTACTCGAGAGCCTGAGGCAGGGAGAATCACTTGAACACAGGAGGCAGAGGTTGCAGTAAGCCAAGATCGCGCCATTGCACTCCAGCCTGGGTGGCAGAGCAAGACTCTGTATCAAGAAAAAAAAAAAAAAAAAAGAAAGAAAAAAGAAATTTGAGAATTCATCCTGAGTTATCCGAGTGAGCCCTAAATGCCATCACAAGTGTCCTTGTAAAAAGAGACAGAGGAAGCAGAAGGCAATGGGACAACAGAAACGGAGAAGTTTGAAGATGCTCTGTTGCTGGCTTTGAAAATACAGGAAAGCCCACACGATGGAAGAGGCCATGAATGGATTATCATCTGGAGTCTCCATTGAGAATATAGCCCTTCTGCCATCTTGACTTTAGGTCAGTGAAACGAATGTTGTACTTCTGGTCTCTCTAACTGAGAGAGAATAAATTTATCTTGTTTAAAATCACTAAGTTTGTGATAAGTTGTTACAACAGCCCCAGGAAACAAATACACACTCATTTATTTTATTTTATTGCTTAACATTATGCTTTGTGAGATTGACCTATGTTGTTACATGTAGTTCTAATTTGTTCATTTTCATTCCTGAATAATATTCAACATACAATTTTAAAAATTTGTCTTTTTTTAAACAAATAATGCTGCTATGAACATCCTTGCTTGTATTTTGTGGTACAAATATGTAAGTGGGTAGCTGCATCCATTTACTTTTTCTCCAACAGTCTATGAGAATTTCCCTTGTTCTGTATCTTCATTTGTAATCATTATTGTTAGTCTTTTAAAGTTAGACAAAATAGTATGTGTAGAATGGTATGTCATTACAGTTTTAATTTAAATTTCTCCAAAAAATAATGAGCCATTTTCATCAGGACTGAGCCTAGGGTGAAGCAAGAGAGGCATCTAGGGTACACAACTTAAGGATGCGTTTATTCCCTTTCCTTTCTGTCCTTGTTTGTGATGAATTATTTCTACTTTATCAAACAAAAAGTGTAATAGGTATACAATTGATTTTTGCTTTTTGTGCATTTGTTATAAATCCAGTCACCTTACCAAACTGGCTTTTATTTCTAATTGTTTGTAGATAATTTTTGACATTTGTACATAGCCATGCCATCTCCAAAATAGCATTTACCTTTCCTTTTCAATATTTACAAATTTAACTTCTTTTAATTGCCTTCTCACACTAGCTGGGGCCACTATAAATCTTTTATACTTGTTTTGATGTCTATAGAAACTGTAGTGATGTCCTCTCTTTTATTAATTTCTCACACTGGTAATTTCTGGTCTCTCTTTCTGTCTCACTGTTTATCTTTCTGTCACTCTCTTCCCCTCTTTCTCTGTGTGTATGTATGTGTGTGTGTGTGTCTGTATAAAAGAATTTAAATATACGGATAGTCCTTGACTTAATGATGGTTTGACTTACAATTTTTCGACTTTACAATACTGCAAAACAATCACAATTTCAACATAACGTACCATATTCAATACATTACATGAGAGATTCAACACTTTCTGATAAAGTAGTCTTTCTGTTAGATAATTTTGCCCAACTTTAGGCTAATGTTAGTGCACTGAGCATGTTTAAGGTAGGCTAGGCTAAGCGATGATGCTTGGCAGATTGGGTATATTAAATGCATTTTCTACTTATGATATTTTCAATTATATTGGGCTTATCAGGATGTAACCCTATCATAAGTTGAGGAACATCTGTACTATAATTATGCAATTATAAAGAGATTCATTATTTTTTCCAGGCAAAACTTTTTTTATTGTTGATTTTTCTCTTATATGTCTGCTGTATTAGTCAGTTTTCAAATTACTATAAAGATACTACCTGAGACTGGGTAATTTATAAATAAAAATGATTTACTTGATTCACAGTTCTGCATGGCTGGGGAGGCCTCAGGAAACATACAACCATGACAAAAGGTAAAGGAGAAGCAAGGCACATCTTACATGGCAGCAGGAGAGAGAGCAGGAAAAACTGCCATTTTCTTTTTTTTGAGACAGAGTCTTGCTGTGTAGCCCAGACTGAAGTGCAATGGTGTGATCTTGGCTCACTGCAACCTCCACCTCCCAGGTTCAAGTGATTCCCCTGTCTCAGCCTCCTGAGTAGCTGAGATTACAGGCGTGTGCCACTATACCCAGCTATTTTTTTTTTTTTGTCTTTTTAGTAGAGATGGGGTTTTGCCATGTTGGCCAGCTGGTTTTGAACTCCTGATCTGAAGTGATCCACCCACCTCAGCCTCCCTAAGTGCTCGGATTACAGGTGTGAACCATTGCACTGGACAAAACTGCCACTTTTAAAACCATCAGATCTCATGACCTCTCCCTCACTATCACGGGAATAGCATGGAGGAAACCACCCCCATGATCCAATTACCTCCCACCAAGTCCCTCCTTCAACATGTGGAGATTACAATTAGAGATGAGATTTGGGCAGGGACACAGTGCCAAACCACATCATCCTCATTTTTTTCAATAATTTCTTCATCATATCTCGTCATGTATTTATTTACATGTATTTTTAAATTGAGTACTAGGCATTATATATGAAAACTGAAAGTAATTTGAGGCCCTGGAAATGTTAACATTCTCTAGAGAGGAATTACATTTGCTCTTTGCAGTAAGCTAAGGACACTAGCAGGTTACTTTAATGCATCCATAAGTGGACAGATAATCAGACACTAGTTTTATGTCCCTGAGTGGGCTGGGCTTTATCGAGTGTAGTCTTTGCCCCCAACTCAAAGCCTGGAGGGTACTGTGCTCCAATTCTCCCCACCACATTCCCTTGCACACTCACACAGTTGCATGCATTTGGCTGCCAAAAGCATTCCTTAGTTTTGCAATCTATTTTTTAACTTCCTAGAATCAGTAAAAATCTTGAGCTGAAAAGTGATGCTCAATGCCAAGCTCATCTCTTGGATCTGGGCTTTGCAATTTTCCATTGCTTTGTTAACACTTAGTGTCTTGAAGAAAATTTTGTTGTTGTGTTCCATGGGAGAGTTGATATCAATTACAAATCTGCAGTTACTGGTAGAAGTTCCTGTGGTTTCTATTTTACCTTCAGATTTTACTTTTAGACTGCTCTAGTCTACATCTTTTTATAAGAGATCATGTGAGGACAGTTTTTTTTTTTTAATTCTCTTCTGCAACCTCTGGAGTTTTGTAACTTGCATTATTCTTGTTTTACCAAAATTTATGCCTTTTTTTCTATAGTCTGAAAGAAGTTTTCTTTAGTTGCTTAATCTATGTGCTGTATTTATAGGACTTATTGTTCATCTGTCATTTCATAAAATGTCTCTTTTTACTTTCTCCTTATTTTGGCTCATTCTTTGGCTAGATTTTTGGGGTGATGTTATCTGAGATCTTTTATGTCTATTTGTTGCTTGAATGACCCTTCGGGTTTTACATGATTTTTTCAGCCATTCTTTTATTTTCGTAAAAATGTCCTGGTAACATGTTTCCCCTAAAAATCTACATCCAAATCCTTCCTTAATTTAAGGAATCACTACATGATAGTGAACTTTTAGTTCTCTTTTATTCCAATTTAAGTTATCAATGTCAGTGCCAATTATTCTTATTCAAGATATCATTGCCTGCACTCTTCACATATTACCTTGTTTATAATGACTTGAATCATTTTTGTTTATTAACATACATAGCTACACTCCCCCCAGAGGAATAGGGAACTCACATATGCAAAAGAAAATCCATGGGAACACCCACAACACAATTTATCCATCATCCAGTATTACTGAGTAAAGGCTCTTGGAATAAGAGATTTCAACACATAGAATATGAAAAACTATAATATGCATACAAAATGTGAGAGGACTTGGACATTTAAAAAAGGACTTCTAGTTGAAAACTAATGTGTAGACAAACTAACAGAAAAGATATAGGTGGAATTGATGAGCATAAAATTATTAAATAACAACAAAAAATAGGAGTACATGATAAATATTTTCAAAGTATGATATCTGAAAAGGCTAATACAATACATTTTTGACAATTTCCAAGAAAAGTAGAAAGAAGGAAGAAAATTTTTAAAATAAAGATACTACACCTACAGATATGAAGAAATTTTAAAACCTCAAGCTGTAGTCATTAAATATGATTATTATCTGCATTTTGAATGCATGCACTCTTTGACTCACCCTTTGACTCTATTGTTATCATCTCTAGCAGATGCTCAGTGGTCTGATAGGATCAGTAACAACACAGCACTATTGCCAAGCCACATGGAAGCATGAAGCAAAAGAAAACCTCAGTAATATTGATTTTGTCTTTATTTAAAATGTTAATATATTGTTCATCATGGATTTCCTGCATTAATTTTGATTTAATAAAATATTACATTACCGTTTACATTGATTACTGAGTTTGTTTGACATCCATTTAGGTTCCTCACCTGAGGCAGCAAGGGCTTCAGGTTCTTCACTCTGAGTCAGGACCTGCACAAGACCTAAAAATTTTACATTTATGTCCACTTAGGCAGTTGAGGTCTTGCCTTCTAAGTTTCTCTATAGCTCACTACAAAGAAATGGTGTTGATGTAGGGAGAGGTCTACACTCTTGTAGTGCTAGTTCCAGGAAGATGCCCATGTGCCCCTGATAGCACTACAGAGTTTAGCAATTTCTGCCTTCACTGCTTATTTTACTTTTTCTCTTCCTCAGTTTGTTTCCCTTCCAGAGAGCCAGGTCATGGGCACTGGAACTAGACGAATAAGGATTGAAAACCCACTTATGTAACCTTGAATGAGTTATTTTACTTGTCTGAGTCTCAATTTTCTTATATATTAAGTGAGGATAATTTTTAATTTGTAAGATTCTTGTATAAATAAATATGTACAGAAAGTCCATCACACACCTAGTCCACAGCATGGACTTAATAAATGTCATTTATCTTTTCTACTCTATTTCTGCTTCCCATTCTTCAACTTACTACTGCAGAGCTAATCCATTAGTTAGTATATAGTAGAAACTGAAAAAAATTGAAATGCATTTCTTTTATTGCTATAATCACAAATATGTTACACAGACCTACCTCAATGCTAGAGTTCATCCATTGAGTTGGTTCAGTTATGTTTAATATTAGTTTAATATTTCAAACATAGCAAAAATGGTTTATTAGTTACTTATAATAGATGGAGGAAAGTAATCAATAGCCTTCTTAGAAACACTCCTATTACTGATCTAAACCCCATTCTTCAGTGAAATTGTTTTGATAATGTATACAATTTCAGAAATTTATATTTTTGCTTCTAAAATCACAATGTATTTAGTTAAGAGAAATAAAAATAACTTTAGCTGACTTTATGATATATAAAGTTTATTTTAAACCTTTGCCTTTAAATGAAAAAAAATAATGTTATTAGAGGTTTTAAACTTTTCTGTATATAACATCGGGCTAATTTTCACTAGACTGCAAATATTCTTATATGGACAGGCAAATCAGTACTGAATATACAATAAATTTTATTTTCTATGGATTGTGCCTAAATTACATCAGTTTAGAACAAACACATTTAATAAAAGCCAATAAATGCAGGTGTTCTACGATTGTTATACTTTTTTCTTTTCAATGAAAAATAGCCAGACCTGTTCCCTGGGGCTGGTTGTAATTATGGATTTTAATGTGAATCAGCTGTCATTTGATGTTCCACCAAGAAAATGTTTTTACATTTTAAAGAGCTTTAAGATTTGTTATTTGAGTTAGTGTCCTTTGAATAATGGCTGAGAGAACAGTTTTTTTTCAATTACACAAGTATTTCTTCATCTATTTAGAGGCTCTGAGGTCAGACTAGATTAAAAACGCACACACGCATTTGTCTCAAGTAATGGTGGAAAGTTACCTCCTTGGTGACTGCAGTATGCAAGATTGTGTGTGGTTTGGTTTCTAATCTTTCATTTATTTCCAACATGAAAAAATAACCTTCCTCAGGTAAGAAAAAAACATTGTACTTGGTGAGTTGCTTTTGATCAAAGAAAGGGTCAATAGTTATTTCCTGAAAATGGTGACAAGAATAAAAAATGGAAAGAAAGATCTATTTTAACTAGCAGTAATGATTTTGGGGGAGGAATAGGGAGAGTATATGTGAGGAAACAAGGAAGGAAACCGAGAGTAACAGTCACTGACGCCAGTTTGTGAAAGGGATGAGGCTGACCAACATGCCTTGAGGCCATATCAGAAGATTTTAGTTTTCATATAAAATATTTATATTTCCATCTTTTTTTCCTATATTATGAGGGCAATCAAAAGAATTTTGGCTTTGTACAGAATTTTCCTACGTATTGATGAAATAAAAATGCCAAGTATATTCACATTTTCAAGGTTTTACTGAGAATAAAGTTTATACCTAGAAATGATTTTAATACAAGCAATGGGCTATTCTAGGAAAACAAAACGGAGAGAGATGGTCTAACAGGAATGATGTAGCAGAATTAACATAAATGCTGCTATGCTTTGGTTCTGTGTCCCCACCCATTCCCACGTGTTGAGGGAGGGAAGTGATAGGATTATGGGGGGGGTGGTTTCTCCCATGCTGTTCTCGTGATAGCGAATCTCACGAAATCTTTTGGTTTTAAAACAGGCAGTTTTTTCCTGTGCTCCTACTTCCCTCTCTTCTGCCACCTTGTGAAGAAAGTGCCTGCTTCCCCTTCACCTGCCGCCATGATTGTCAGCTTCCTGAGGCCTCCCCAGCCATGCTGAACTGTGAGTCAATTAAACCTCTGTCCGTTATAAACTACCCAGTCTCAGGCAGTTCTTGACAGCAGTGCAAAAATGGACTAATACAAATAGAAAAGATATTATCAATTTCATCCTCCCCAGAACTTTCATGTTTTCATTAGATTTATGAGATATATTTTTCAATCTCCTTGAAAATCAACACAAGCCCTTCGTTATCTAGTCTCATCCTAAAATAAAGTATTTGTTTTATATTGGCACCATGACAATTTCAACTAAATTAATGGCTTCAGCAACATAAATTATTATCTCACACTTCTGTAGGTCTGAAGTCTGAGTGGGCTCAACCAGCTCCCTGTTCAACATCCGGCAAGGTCCAAACGAAGGTGACAATCAACAGGGATCTTATTTGGAAGCTCTGGTAAGAGTACATTTCCAGGTTTATTAAGGTTGTTGGCAGAATTTAGTTGTTTGCAGTTGTATCACCATTCCCAGTATCTTGTACAGTTGTACGTCATTGTTTTCTTGCCTGTGTCAACTGGTGGTTGCTGGTGTCAGCTCCTAGTAACCTGTCTCCAGACTTCCTATGTGAGCCTCCACATCGCAAAACCAGCAATGATGCCTCTGAACCTTCTCAGGCAGAATCTTTCTAATTTCTCCCTCTACCAAGCCTCTCTTTATCCAGCTAAAGAATGTTCTCTGCTTTTAAAGGTTCATATGATTAGATTGGGTTCACCTGGATACTTAAAGATGCTTGCCCTATCTTAAGGTTTGTAACCTTAGTTACAGCTACAAAGTCCATTTTGCCATATTCACAGATTCCAGGAATGACGATATGGACATCTTTGGGAGGCTACTGTTCATACCGCAAATACTAATCTCACAATAATCTGTTTATGGCCTATAATTTGGCCATTACTTCACTGAAACTCATACTCTGCATTTTGTTAAGTATTCACTCTCTGAGCTGAAGCACAGTAATACAGAAAAACCTAGATGATTCAAAATGAAAAACATCGATAGAGTAAAAAGAATATCAGAAATCATTGGTTTCTGAGACTAATATGCAAAAGTTTACTTTTCCATATTTTTTGATAGTATTTTTCCTTGTTTTTAATTGTGATATACTTTAGATAAGATGAAAATGCACAATTTTTAAGTCATTATTCAATGACTTTTGATAAAAAATGTATGATTGAGCCACCCAACAGCCCATAGAACATTGACATTACCCCAGAAATTTCTCATGCCATTTAACAATCAATTCGCATCACCCTCCAGCCATTATTCTCATTTCTATCACTACAGATTGATCTTGCACATTCTGCAACTTTATATAGATGTGATCATACAATACATACTTTTGGTGTTTTTTTTTTGTAGTACTTTTGAGTAGTTTTCAATTATTTGACTATATCACAGCTGTTACAATCCATTCTCCAATTTTAGGGGCCTTTGAGTTCTCTTCAGTTTGGGGTTATCAAGAATAATTATACTGTTATCTTTATTTCTGTTAGGCTTGACAATATTTCATAATCATGTATTCTTAGAATAATGTGCAATTTATTTATTTAAGCAGTCATACTGATTTTTAGGTAAATATATTTTTTATTTAAATTTTGGGGTACATGTGCACAACGGGCAGGTTTATTACATATGTATACATGTGCCATGTTGGTGTGCTGCACCCATTAACACATCATTTGCATTAGGTATACCTCCTAATGCTATCCCTCCCCCCTCCCCACTACCCCACGACAAGCCCCAGTGTGAGATGTTCCCGTTCCTGTGTCCAAGTGTTCTCATTGTTCAATTCCCACCTATGAGTGAGAAGATACGGTGTTTGGTTTTTTATCCTTGTGATAGTTTGCTGAGAATGATGGTTTCCAGCTTCATCCATGTCCCTACAAAGGACATGATTTTATCATTTTTTATGGCTGCATAGTATTCCATGGTGTATATGTGCCACATTTTCTTAATCCAGTCTATCATTGTTGGACATTTGGGTTGGTTCCAAGTCTTTGCTATTGTGAATAGTGCCGCAATAAACATACGTGTGCATGAGTCTTTATAGCAGCATGATTTATAATCCTTTGGGTATATACCCAGTAGTGGGATGGCTGGGTCAAATGGTATTTCTTGTTCTAGATCCCTGAGGAATCGCCACACTGACTTCCACAATGGTTGAACTGGTTTACAGTCCCACCAACAGTGTAAAAGTGTTCCTATTTCTCCATATCCTCTCCAGTACCTGTTGTTGCATGACTTTTTAATGATCACCATTCTAACTGGTGTGAGATTGTATCTCATTGTAGTTTTGATTTGAATTTATCTGATGGCCAGTGATGATTAGCATTTTTTCATGTGTCTTTTGGCTCCATAAATGTCTTCTTTAGAGTAGTGTCTGTTCATATCCTTTGCCCACTTGTTGATGGGGTTGTTAGTTTTTTTTTTTTTTTTTTTCTTGTAAATTTGTTTGAGTTCTTTGTAGATTCTGGATATTAGCCCTTTGACAGATGAGTAGGTTGCAAAAGTTTTTTCCCATTCTGTAGGTTGCCTGTTCACTCTGATGGTAGTTTCTTTTGCTGTGCAGAAGCTCTCTTTTGTTCAATTAGATGCCATTTGTTAATTTTGGCTTTTGCTGCCATTGCTTTTGGTGTTTTAGACATGAAGTTCTTGCCCATGCCTATGTCCTGAATGGTATTGCCTAGGTTTTCTTCTAGGGTTTTTACAGTTTTAGGTCTAACATTTAAGTCTTTAATCTATCTTGAATTAATTTTTGTATAAGGTGTAAGGAAGGTATCCAGTTTCAGCTTTCTACATATGGCTAGCCACTTTTCCCAGCACCATTTATTAAATAGGGAATCCTTTCCCCATTTCTTGTTTTTGTCAGATTTGTCAAAGATCAGATAGTTGTAGATGTGTGGCATTATTTCTGAGGGCTCTGTTCTGTTCCATTGGTCTATATCTCTGTTTTGGTACCAGTGCCATGCTGTTTTGGTTACTGTAGCCTTGTAGTATAGTTTGAAGTCGGGTAGCATGATACCTCCAGCTTTGTTCTTTTGGCTTAGGATTGACTTGGCAATGTGGGCTCTTTTTTGGTTCCATATGAACTTTAAAGTAGTTTTTTCCAATTCTGTGAAGAAAGTCATTGGTAGCTTGATGGGGATGGCATTGAATCTATGAATTACCTTGGGCAGTATGGACATTTTCATGATATTGATTCTTCCTACCCATGAGCATGGAATGTTCTTCCATTTGTTTGTATCCTCTTTTATTTCATTAAGCAGTGGTTTATAGTTCTCCTTGAAGGGTCCTTCACATCCCTTGTAAGTTGGATTCCTAGGTATTTTATTTTCTTTGAAGCAATTGTGAATGGGAGTTCACTCATGATTTGGCTCTCTGTCTGTTATTGGTGTATAAGAATGCTTGTGATTTTTGTACATTGATTTTGTATCCTGAGACTTTGCTGAAGTTGCTTATCAGCTTAAGGAGATTTTGGGCTGAGATGATGGGGTTTTCTAGATATACAATCATGTCATCTGGAAACAGGGACAATTTGACTTCCTCTTTTCCTAATTGAATACCCTTTATTTCCTTCTCCTGCCTGATTGCCCTGGCCAGAACTTCCAGCACTATGTTGAAAAGGAGAGGTGAGAGAGGGCATCCCTGTCTTGTGCCAGTTTTCAAAGGGAATGCTTCCAGTTTTTGCCCATTCAGTATGATATTGGGTGTGGGTTTGTCATAAATAGCTCTTATTATTTTGAGATACATCCCATTAATACCTAATTTATTGAGAGTTTTTAGCATGAAGCGCTGTTGATTTTTAGGTAAATATTTTTTAAGATTACCTGCCCACAAACATAAACTACCTATTGAGCCCTGCTTGTATTTTGATGGGCATATGCACATATAGACTCAGAGTTGAATATGGCTACTTTAAGTGACTTCTTCCATTCTCATAAAATAATTAGCAGATTATCCAGTTTATAAACTTGATGACATTGCTATATAAGATATTGGAAAACAAATTCCATTATATAATATTTGCAGAGATAATTTTTTGAAGTTGATAAGCCACCTTTCCAGGATTTTTTATGCTACATACAGTTGTTTGGATAAGGACATTCTTATAGATACCTGGCTTCATAATTAATAGAAGCAATTTATCATAACATACCCACAGTTAATTTTTTTCTTCACTTTTGCCCTACAATCGGTGCTCTTAAATTCCTTTATAATATCTTTAAAGGCACAGAAGTAAGAAATGGAGAGAAAAATAAGCCTTAGAAGTCTTTGGGCTCCAAAAATCTTTTCTCTTGGTAACCATAGCAGCTCATGACTCAATAAAATGATAAAAAGACTTCATATTTTTGGGTTAAAAATCTTGAATATGTTAGTTTTTCTGACAAATATAATCAGATATGACAATTACTAAATCAGGATATTAAAACTATCATCTCAGGATAATAACAATTATGTATTTTCCTGTTGAAACTTTAGATTCTTTGTTGTTTTCATTTTCCCTTAAGGAAAACCTATCTGTCCTTGTGCCCCAGTAGCACTCCACATCTTTGGTAGATGTGAGTTTACATTTTTTATCACTACTCTTGTGATTGAAAAGCATGCTTTAACATTTCTTGCAGTGCTTTTCTGGTGGTAACAAATTCTTTCACCTATTATTTTAATCTTATTAAAGTGTTAATTTTGCCTTTTGAAGATTATTTTCACTGGATATATAATTCTGAAGTGACTTATTATTTCTTCTCTATACTTTAAATAATTTTTAGATTTTCATTTGGCTTACATTTGTTCTGATGAGAAGTCAGAAGTATTTTTTATAATTGTACCCTTTTCTATTGCATGCCTTTTGTCCTGCCTACAATTAAGAATTGTGAATTGTATTACTGTGTTGATATTCTACATCTCTCCACTCTCTTCCTTCTTTTCCTCTAAATCCTTGGACGTATTTTAATACCAGCTTAATAATGCTTGTTTTTATTCTTAACAACATCCTGGCTATCTTAGGTCTGTTTCTATTGCTTATTTTTCTCCTAATTTTCTCATAGGTTTCTGCTATTTTTGCATGTTTAATAATTGTTTTTATTTTATATTTGATATTTTTCATACTGTATTATTTAGATTCTAGACTTCTGTCTTTGGTAGAAGTGTGTTGAATTTTATTTTGAGCAGACAGTTAATTTACTGGCACATTAATTTGATCCAGTTGGTGCCTATTTTTAAGGTTTTAAGGCTGATTTAAGAGTTTTTCTTCTGATAGGAGTAGATAAGCCCTACTTTGGAAGCTGACTTTCCTGAGTTCTTATTTAAACACTGGGAGATGCTCAGTGAGTCTTTTCACTTTGGCTAGTTCAAACTCTAATGGCTTTCAACATTGTTGAACCAGTGAAATCCTCATGCCGCTCATTGCCCCTTAGAAACTGTTCTCTGTGTGGCCTTGTGAAATCTTACTCTGCACATGCATAATATGTTGTTCACTCAAAAAATTCAAGAAGACTCATTTGTAGATTTTTAGATCTCTTTCTCAGTTCGACTCTTTCTTCTCTGGAATGTTCTTCATAAATTCCAGCCACCTCAGCTGCAACCTACAATCGGTTTCTCCATTCAGAAAAATTGCTGCGATCTATTTGGGCTCCTCTTTTCTTTCCTGTAGTTTTGGAAGTATCCCTGTATAAAAGGCCAGCTTTAAATGTGGAGTTCACTTCAAGGATCACGACTCTATGCTGTGTGTTGTAAAATGCTTTAAAATAGGCACATGGTATATTTTGTCTAGTTTTATAGTTGTTTACAGCAGAAGATTCAGTCTGAAATCCATTATTTTATTATGGCCAGAACCAGAAGTCAAGCACTCTTTTTTAAAAAAGCACATATTGTGTACCTGCTATCTTCCATGTACCATACCAAGTGTGTTCAAATACATAGTCAAGTCAGCTTTTACTATTAGTTGTTACCCATGAAGGGCTTACATTTTATTTTATTTTTTTTCAGAGAGAGGGCTTAGGCAGATTTTTATTCAATATCTATGCATTTGCTCATGCTGACTATTTCTGGTATATTTTTACATACTTCCTAAACACTATTTGTCTTACAAGATTTATGGCAATTCTTTTTTGCATGTTTTTCTAATTCATCTTCAAAATCAACCTTTCCCAACTTCATTTGTTCATAAGATAATTTTAAATTCACCTCTGTTAGAGCATTTACCCTGTAGAATTATAGCTATCTCTGTATGTGTCATAAAATCCTAGCAAAATTTTAGGCTGCAACTGCCACTTTCCTCTCTTTGTGACTCAGCTTGTCAGAATTACAAGTGCACATATTAGGCCATTTCTAAGGGTTCATTGTACTGAATACATGCTACCTAATTTAACTCACATAATAATCTTGTGAGGTATATAGTATAATTATCATTATGTTTAATAAATGAATTGAGTCTCATATAAGTTACTTATTTATTCTAGTTTACTAATGTCCATGATAGAACTGAATTCTGAGTTCAAGCTCCGTGTTTCCAACTCGAAATCTACTAATCATCACTATAGCACATTTATCATGCATTGCCTTCACTGTTGTTAGCCTGACAAATAAGAAAATAATACAATAATCCTTAAATATCAGTAGTATCTCATACAATTTCATATAACTCATTCAATTGTAATCACAATTGAAAATGTCTATACAGCTTAATTAGTCTAACTCCCCATTCAATGGCCGTATTTTCTCTACAGTATTCCTAACCATAAGACTTTGTTTTGACCCTGCTGTTTGTGTCCCCCATCCCTTAAAGCAATCCATGTATCATAGTAATTATTAATTCCTTAGAGTAGTTTACATATGCCATCCTAAAACTTGTATCCACCATTCCGTTCTCCACCCTTCATGGCTGTATAAAATTTGTCCCCTCGGTCATTCATTGGCTAGCCCTCAAATATTTGAAAACAACTAATGTTGCCTTAAGTCCTCTTTCTTTCAAGGAAAGCATCATTAGTTGCTTTTCTTTGCTCTTCTTCTTAGATTGGTTTCTAATCTTTACATCAAATATTTTCTGTTTGTGGACAAGATTTTTAAGGAAATCTAAAACTATGAAACATACTGTCCTGTATGATCATAGTAATCTGTGAGGCTATTATTATCTTAGGTGTTATTACAAATCTCTTACTTTCCCTTCCCAAGATGAACAACACAGCAACATGAATAAAGAAAATTTTCCCTCTAGTAACTACAAGAGTTAGAGTAACTATGATTTACAGATGAAAACCTAGGGCCAGAGCCTTCCTGTAGGATATTAGACTTCCTTTTCAAGAGGTTGCCCCCTATATAATATTTTTAAATTATCTGCCCTCTTCCTTCAATTTTGTCACTGTGTTATGCCCTTTGAAAAGAGACAGTGAAGGAGTTATATTTGGAAATACGCCCCATATTTTTTCTGATCACTGGAATGCAGAGGTGATTATGAATTTTATGAGTCGGTAGAGTTATTTTCATTAATTAATTCTACAATCTTAAAAATAGCTCTCACCATAAATCAACAGCTGAATGGTGGGAGTTGGACATAATGGAGAAAATATGGACTAAAGAGATTATGAATAGGTATTGTAGAGAATCCATATTTTAATTGGGTGTATTAAGTAAACTCTTGGATGGATTAAAATGTTAGGTTCTGGTTGGATGTGGTTTTCCCTTATGTTTCAGAAATGTGTCAACTCCCAATTTACAACAAAGGCCCAAATTCACAAAAAGAGAAAGACACCTCCTTCCCTACCTAGTAGAAGAAACTAATATTGCCTTCAGACCATCCATATGCCGTTATTTTTTTATATTGCTCAGACTATAATAGGCAGTGAACTTTCAATAATATATCACCTGATCTTTTGGTGTCTATACGAGAAACCTGTAATCTTTCTCTGATAAAGAGAATAAGCCCATGAGCCAATATACCTGACAAATGTGTAAAGGCAGGGGCAGTGCCCAGGTGTCCCTGAGAAGTCTATATCTGCCACTACTTTCTCAGGGCCACAGAGGGTACATATCTCATGCAAGCAAACACTTGCACTCACATGTGTGCATGTTTACCCTCTGGATTAGCCCAACTCTCCATTCACCTTTAGTTTTGCCTCATATTTTGGGAGTTCAGATTAGAAAACTGATGTAATCCATCCACATTTCTGGCATCTCTAAGCTTATATGGTATCAATGACCTCATGATTCTTTAGATTTATTTTTAATATGTGAGTATTTACTTTCAAGGGTTAATTAACCTTGGTGAAATCTTAAAATCTTCAGCTAAAGATATACTACATGACAGGCATACAATTTTGGAACTGCTTTGTTATGAACCTATACAATGTAAATTGGCAGTGGTCACATATTAAAGTAGCTGCTTGAACAAACCTTAATGGCACAACTTCCATCTCAGGACTTATTAAGATCCGGTGGTTGCTTAAAGAGAAATTAGTTCGTTTGCTATAATTTGTTGAGGAAATCACCATACAATATGCCATTAGAGTGCACATATTTCTTATAGAATACCTGTGGTTAAGCTCTTCCTGTCATCGTAAACTGGAGAACGTACTGAAATTAGCTTGCATCATGAAAGCTTAGATGCAGCTGAAAATTCAGAGACAATTGTTTTATCTTAAAAGTTATTTTCACTTTTCCATTGCCACATTTAAAAGTTAAGGTTTATAGAGAGATATTCTCAAGTGATTATAGAACAAGTACAGGAATATAGAAGGATAAAAATATGTATTTCAAGTCATCAATTCTAATTCTGCTTCTAGAAGTAGTCAGTGTGCAAAGCTGCAGTTGCTGAGGGATTACTTCAATGAAGCTGCATCGTCACCATCAACTACATTTTCAGGATCCACAATCTCCATATATATACTTTATTTTTTAATGTTAGAGAGGAAGAAAGTGTAATAATTTGGTGGGAACTTCCTCCTATGTTTGATATAAGAAGGTAGACAAATTAGCATCTGCCCATGCTATGATGATCACAGGAACAATCTTGCAGCTGACAATGCCAAGAAATTACTGTCCTTGAATAACGTCAAGCTTTAAATTTTTGATTACTGAAATTTCAGTAACAAATATTGCAATCCAAATTGAATTTCATAAGACTTTCGATTCATTCTACGATAGTAATATTCAGCTTCAGTCAATAATGACGTTGATACTCAGACTTTCAGTGTTCGGCCAAATATTTATTTGGTGCATCTCTACTTTATATACATTTGCAGATTTTAAAATACTTTTTTCTGCTGTGTATCATCATAACTGATACACCTACACAAACATACACACAAAATCTTATGGAAGGCAAATGCAAACATACACACAAAGAACATATTATAGGAAAATGTGAAAAAAAGAAATCATTCAAAGTAGAGAGCATTACATAAGATGACAAAACTCAAACTAAACATATCTTCACTGTTATATGTAATGAAATAAAATTAATAATTAAAGCGAAAGACTTATATTGGACAAGAAAAAATGTGTTGATGATTCTGTTAGCTCCACCCAAATCCTTTATCTGACTTTCAGTATTCTGTTCTGTGCTCCAGGAGATGAACCCCTAAGACTTTATCATTCAGGTTCCTCTGCCAGCTAGCTCCTAGTTGAATTGGATTAATGTAAGGCACTGGCAGTGGGTCAGATGGCAGGAGAGAGAGAAATCCTGATATCTATTCCCTGCTTTCTTCCTAATTCTTCATGAATGTAGTTTCTACCAGATAACTCTTCTCCACAGCACCAGCTCATCCTAGGCTTCAATAATGCAAATTATACACCTTGTCCCTTCAGGTCTAGGGACGGTAACAGCGTTTCACTGTTTCTGGTGTCTGAGTATTACAGCAACCTTTGCTGGGGTTTTAAATCCTGCTCTAACTGAGGTAAGTAGTCCATTCACCAAAGTCTCTATTGTGGACCATTGAAGCAGATTTCTTTTTCTTTTCATTCTTTCTTTTTTAATAGTAGTGATGGGGTCTCCTATGTTGCCCAGGATGGTCTCAAACTCCTAGGCTCAAGCGATCTCCCACCTTGGCCTCCCAAAATGCTGGGATTACAGGTGTGAGCCACAATACCAAGCCTGAAGCAGATTTCTGTTTTATACAAGGGTCTTAATTAATGTAGAAGCTATTACAAAATGGGGTATGTAAAAATATCTCTTTCTTAGGGAATAACAGGTAGCTATACCTTGTACTGCCTACCACACAGAAAAAGCAGAGTGACTGAGAGGTTTCTCTGGATTTTGGAAGTAACATGACTACAGTTGTGTGTATTCAAACCTATTACAGTCTAACTCACAAGTCTACCCATTTAGAAAAAAGAGCTCTTTGCAGCAGGTTCAGTCTGTGCTGTAGGCTCCTCTACTGCGTGGATATTTTGACTCCATAGATCTAAGTATCTGGCTTAGAGTAATGCTGTTTGAAGCTTCTAAGTAACCCCAAGAAGACAATCACAGTTCACTTAACTAATGATTTTGGAACAAAACTGTGTCCCCTTCCACCAAACATTTTTTATCTATTTAAGAAGTCAGGCTTGTCACCATGTATCTATGTGATTTGAAGTGTTCACCATCAACTGGTTGCTATCCAAGTTATCAAATCTTAAAACTGTGCTTGAAAATTAGCAGGTTATTATAAGATGGAATTGATATGGGTGACATTAAGGCTGAACAGGAAGGGGAGTCACAAGTATATTGAATGAGCAGGTGGTTCAGACCTTTATTAGCTATTCCTGCTTAGTTATCAAATTTTCCTCAATTCTCATTCATATTCAACAGGGGAACCCCCTAAAGAGAAGGTGCTCAACAATCAGGTAGATTAGGTGTCTGATCTTTCCTGTGGATGTCTATCAAGCTTTCTCCCAGTGATACTGGTGCTTACTTAGTGGAACCATGCAAAAAATAATCATAGTTGCATGGATGGTAAATATGCTTGAACTCAACACAATGGACTACCCTTTAGCAACCCTGATCTGTCTACTATCACTGAGTGTCCAACTTGTCAATACCAAGGGCCAATGTGTTCCTGATATGGCACCATTTCATAAGGACACCGACCAGGCACCTGGTGCCAGGGTGATTACACTGAATCCTTTATATTGTGGAGTAAGCAACCATTTGTCCACATAAAACCAAATACACATTCTAGAAATGGGCTTCTCTTCTCTGCCCTCTATGCTTCTACCAGTGTCACCATATGTCACCTTATAGAATGCCTTATTCATTGCCATAACATCCCATACTACATTGCCTTTGACAAAGAAACTCATTTTATAGCAAAACAATTGTTACAAAAGATCCATGCCCATGAAATTCATGTTTCCCCACATGTCCCATCACCAGTAAGCAGCTAGCCTGATAGAATGATGGAATGGCTTCCTAAAGGCTCAGTTTCAATGCCAGATGTGACACAATATTGTTTGAAATTGTGGTGCTGGCCTAACAGATTAAACTATTAGCCAATACATAAGCCATATTTCCAAAAGCCAGAACACGTAGGATCAGGAAATAAGAAGTAGAATTATTTTACCTAATATTCTATTTACAGAATTTTATTTCCCTTCCTGGAAACTCGTATTTAGTAGCTTTGGAGGTTCTCTTTTCCAAGGAAGGAACATTTATTTCTAGAAATATGGCTATGTTTCCATTAAATTTGGACCTGAAATTGCACCCTTGCTATTTTTAGCTCTTAATGCCATTGACATAACTGGCAATAAAGAGTTTAACTATACTGAATGGATTGATTAATTCTGATTAACAAAGGAAAATTAGGCAAGTAGGCCTAGTTGGAATCCAGGAGATCTGCTGTGGAGCCTTTTAGCACTTATATGTCCCATAAAGAGCCACCAAATAAAGACAGTATCACTAGGGACTTTGATCCTATGAAATGAAGATTTGGGTCATCCCATGAGACAATAATTCCTGTACTATGGAAGTAGTAAAGTTTGCTTGAAAATGGAATGGATAATAGAAAAAGGAAATTATGATGATAAAATTTAGCCTCGTGACCAAAAGTGAGAACAGTAGTAGCTAATTTACATATTTATGTTAACTGAATATTTCTTTCCCCTCACTCTCCTTGCTATCTCATATAAAGAGTACTGATAATGGGTGACATTAAAATTTATAATCCAGTTGGGAGTAAGACTGAATTGCTGACACCCTGCCACAATTTAAATTATGCTAAGACTGCGGTATCCCTGTACTGGAGATCCAATTTTCTTAATCTAAGCAAGAGGCAAGAATGAATGCGAAGTCGGAGTAATGTTCTGGTAAGTTTCTATTGACTTCATGGATTTATTTTCTCCCCTTGTCTAACTTGCTCTGTGCTCATGGATGCAGAGTCATGCAGTCAACATCATCCAGATTCCTTTGTGGCCTGAATTTCAGCAGAAGGCACTCAGTGGGAGGCCCCTGTAGGGTTCAAGTTAGGTGGAGAGGAGAATGGGTTATTTCTTCTCTGATTCCCTCTGCTTTGGTTCTGTGCTTCTGCCAGGGGCTGAATCTCTCCATAACTAGAACTCCTGCTATGTGACCTTTCCTTGCAGCTCCAGAACTCACTTAGCTCTGGTAATGCTATCTTTTCTCTTGTCCCTTTATGGCTTCCTGTGGTTGGTGTCTTTGTTCCTCTGCATCTCTCTTTCTCTCTTATTTTTTTAACCCTTGCTTCATCTCCATAAACTGACTCTTTAGGTTCTTGACAGTGGAAACTCTGAGAGGAATCATGATTCCTTCCAGGATTACATTCAGTAACAAAGCCAATGATTTATTGCATACAAGCAGCAACTCTAATAAAAATTAACTCAAATGTTTGAAAGTGAAGCTTTGGGCAAAAGAATTACAGGCAAATGGATATAAAAAAAAGCAAAGATCACAATATTTAGAACAAATAGGTTTTATTCATGGTTGGTAAAAAATATGAAGTAGGACAAAGGCTCTTTGTATCAATAAAAAGGTCACTATAAATAAGTAACTGTCATAAATATTTATTAAATATGTATGCAAAATTCAGAAAGCAAAAACTTCAGAAGCATTTTTTAAAATACAATTTATAATGCCATTTTTTCAGCTGATGGAAGATCAAGTGAAAAAACATAAGTGAGATTTAGGAGACATAAACAATTAATGGAGGATAACTAATATGTGTATATTTATTCAAATACTCATGGAATAATAGCCAAAGTGGACAAAAGTATTGGGCCTCAATGAAAACCTTAGCATATTCCAAAAAGGAAAAATAGTGTATAATTTAGTCCGTGATGACAATGTAATAAAACTGGAAATTATTTCTGGGAAGTGATATTGCCTGCAATTGTTAATTTCTACATTTTTAAAAATAATTATTCTATTATTTTTTCAGTAAACATTGTACTTTTTTATAGGTAAAATATCAAAATACTCAAATATGTACAAAAAGTTCATAATATATAATTTTAAAAATACCATACAAATATCAAACTTAGAAGAAGCATAAACAATTGTAGCTGTTCTAATAGCCTTCAATGAGTTCAGAATTTTATAATTAGATATTAAAAGGAAGGTAAGAAGTACATGTGTAGTAACTGGACAGACAGTGCACAGCCACAAGTTGGGTATAGCCCTATAAATTGTCTGTTTTAAAATATACATATACAGTAATTTGCTATTCAGAAATGTTGAATCATTTAAACATAACTTTATTATTACAGAAACAGTATATGTGCATCAGAGAAAAATTTTTAAATGGAGAGGAGCAAAATGTGTTGAAATAGTCCTATAAACAAGAAACCACCATTGTTAGTACCTTTGCCTCTAGCCTTACATATTATTTTTCATCAAATATACATTTTGTAACCTCTTTTTCAGTCAATAATTTTCACATTTTTATTTTCATGCATTTTCATTATATATAATATCCATGCTGTATTTAGATGTCTTTAATTAATTAAATATTTTTCTTTAGGGCTGATTTATTTAAACCAGTCTCAGTGCAGTCCTGCACATTATATCTAATTGTCCACCCCTTAATTTTTTTTTACATTTAGAATTACCCCCTCTTTTTAAATGGTACTGACTTGTTGAAGGAAAGAGGCCAATTGACCTACAAAATGGCATACCTTAAGGCTTTGCTTGATTGCTTTCTGTGTCTAAATTTACATCTGATGCCTTAATGGCTGCCAGTTAAACACGCTTGACTAGAATAAATCACAGGTGAAATTTTGTACCTCATGTTGTACTACATCAGAAAATTTGTAATGTCAGGTTGACCCACAGTTGAGACAGTAAGAGTGATCATTGGTTTGTGTGATATCTGATATCTGATACTGATGTCATCCTTCAGTTAGATTGCCACTTTTGCAAGTATAGGATGCTATGAAGGTCTACTTCCCCATAAGCCTTCACTTAATGAATTTTAGCAGCAATGTTTCTCTTTCATTAGCTTCCACTGAAATATAATATAATTGAATTGTGCAAATCATAACTGTATAGCTCAAGGAATTAGTTCAGAGTGAACACACCCATGAAACTATCAACCTGGTTCAAGAAACACTCAAAGGACACATAGGAGGCTCCTCATGCCCTAACCATATTATTTCCCTCTCTCTTCTCCCAAAATGTAACCACTGTTCTGATGTCAAATGACAAAGAATAATTTACCCCCTATAAATAGACTAATACAGAATGTGTTTGTATTTGTTCCTCTTGCTCAAAATTATGATCAAGATTCACAGATGTTATTGTGTGTATCTTAATCATATTCATTTTGATAGATGTAAAGTGGTGCAATCTATTCATCCACCACTATTTATTCTTTCCTGTCTTGCTAGACATTGCTTTCCTTCTGTGGCTAAGTGATCCATTTGTGAACATTGTTATAAGCTTCTATTACTGCATATATGCATACAGTTCTGTTGAATGCATACCCAGAAATGAAATTATTGGATCATACAGGATGCATGTATTCAAATGTTGTGGATAATATGAAACCTGTTTCCAAAGTGGTTGTTCAAAATTCATCCTGATAGCATAAGAGATTTCCAGTTGCTTCAAAACCACATCAACACTTTAAATTATTTTCTATCTTTTAACTTTTCTGGTAAATGTATAGTATTTCTCCCAATGGACTTAATTGTTATTTAAGGACAAGTGAAATTGGACGTCTTTTAAAACGTTTATTAGATATTTGTATAATCTCTTTTGTAAACTGCTTTTTCAAAATATCGCCCATTTTCCTATTGGGTGGTCTCTCTTCTTATTGTTCGAATTTTTATGTATTCTGCATATAAGCCATTTGTCAATTATATAAACCACAAATAATCTAGTTTCACTTGCTTTTGCTCTCTTATTGGTGCCTTTTTAGAGACGAAAACACTTTTTAATTTTAATACAGTTCAAATCATTAATGTTTTTCATATCCTGCTTAAGAAATCTTTGCCTTCCCAGGCCCTGAAGATATTCTTTATTATCTTATACGATTATTGCTTTTCCATTCCCATTTAGATCTACATGAATGAAATGGTTTTGTGAAGGAAGGGAGGTAAAAATCTGGATTTCTTTTTCCATACCGATACAAGATTCTATACTCTTATATTGGTCTATCTATGCTTGTGATATTTACCTTTCTTCATTACTATGGTTTATATTATAGCCTTGATATCTGGGACTGTAAGTACTTTGTTCATTTTTGAGATGTTAGCTGTTCTTAGCCTTTTGCATTGTCATCTAAATTCTAGGATTCACATGTCAATTTTTGAAGATAAAGAAGCCTCTTGGAACTATGATTGATACTGTAATCAACAGATGAATTTAGGAAAATGGACATCTTTATAAATTTAAGTTTTAAATTTATGAACACATTCTAGCTCTTGATTTATTTAGGTTTCATTCAATATTACCCAATAAAGTTATATAGTTCTGTAGAGATTTTGCATATATTTGATTAAATTTATCTCAAGTATTTGATGTTTTGATGCTGTTCAAAGGGGTGTCTTTTTTATATTTTAATCTTCTATTTATTGTACAAAGAAATGCACTTTTTAAAATATTGATCTTAGAAACCACACAAAACTGTGATATTAATTCTAATAATTAAGTAGAAAATTATCTTTGACATTTCATAAACACAAATGTATAGTGTGAAAATGGGAGTGGCATTTTACCTTTCTGGTCTTTAGTCTTTACTCCATGCCGTCTCGCACTGGCTATGAATGGATTAGAATAAAGTGGGATGGAGTAATGAGAATAAGTAATCTATCCTCATATTTTATCTTGCAGACAAGATGTTTAACATTTCACATTATGAAGGATTTTGCTGCAGATTTTTTTCTTTTTTTTTTGAAGATTATGTTTATCAATTAAAATGCTACAGTTTGCTGAGGTTTTCAATTCTAAAAAATACTATTATCAGAGATTTTAGACAATCATCTGATTTTTCTTTTTATTCAGTAGTACATTGCACTAACAGACTTTTAAATGTTTTTGGCAAATTTGAGCAGAAGGAGGATAACCTTTCAAACACAAAAGTTGCAAGAAAAGTATAAGAAACCACAAAATATTTTACTAAGATTTTCAGATTCACCAGTTGTTTATGTTTTGCTCCATTTATTTATGATTTTTCCTCCTCTCTTATTATTCTCTTTTTTAAATTATTTAAGACTAATATGTCAAATTTGCCCTTCTACCCTGTTAGGATTTGGCTGTGTCCAAACCCACATCTAATCTTGAATTCCCACATGTATGGGAGGGACCCAGTAGGAGGTAATTGAATCATGGGTGCACGTCTTTCCCCTGCTATTCTCATGATAGCAAAGAAGTCTGAAAAGATCTGATGATTTTGTACAGGGGAATTTCCCTGCACAAGCTCTCTTCTCTTGTCTGCCACCATGCGAGACATGGCTTTCACCTTCTGCAGTGATTGTGAGGCTTCCCTAGCCACATGGAACTGTGAGTCTATTAAACATCTTTTCTTTTGTAAATTGCCTAGTCTTGGGTTTATCTTTATCAGCAGCATGAAAACGGACTCATACATACCCCCAAATGAATCAATTTGACCTTCTAAAAAAAGGACATCTCCCTATAACCAAAGTATAATTATCAAAATCAAAAAAGTTTACTCATCATTGATTTTTTAATGTTAAAACATCCTTACATTTCGGGAATTAAAGGAAGTTTGTTAGTCTACATTAAACTTTTAAAATATGCTACTGAATTTGTTTAAAAAATATTTGCATAAGATTTTTACTTCAATTTGTGTATGGAACCTGGATTGTGTTTTTCTTTCATGTACTGCCCTGTAAGATTTCTTATCAAGATAATGTGGCCGTCATAAAATGTGTTGGGAAGGGTTTCTGCAATTACAGAAACTAAATGTTATAGAACTCTAAGTGTTATAAAAGAATTACTATTCCATTATTAAACCTTTAGAAGAACTTGCAGGCAAATCCTGGCATGGACTATTCCAAAACTGAATATGTTAAATATTTAATTTTATTAATGTTAATCAGATTACTCATATTTTGTTTTTTTCCAGTGTCTGCTTTAGTAAGTAGTATTTTTCTTAGAATCTGTCCATTTTTTTCTAAATTTTCAAATTGTTGCCAAAATTTGTTCATAATATCCTTAAATAAATTTAAAAAAATCACATGTATTGATGTATAATTTACATTCATTAGAATTTACTCTTCTTAGACATCCAGTTTGATGATTATTGATAAATTACATTCATTAGAATTTACCCTTCTTAGATATACAGTTTGATGATTATTGATTAATGTATATAATCATACAACTACCACTGCAATCGATATACAGAATACTCCCATCACCCCCATAAATTCCATTTCCTTTGTATTAAGTCTCCAACCCCTACTTATATACCCTGGCAACCACTGATCTGATTTGTCTCTATACTTTTGCCTTTACCAGAATATCACATAAATGGAATTAAACAGTGTATTGCCTTTCATGTCTTTTGCAAAATTATGTTCTTTCATTGATTTTGTTTCTTCTTTTTAAATTGCTAATATTAACCTCCTATCTCTATATAGAAAACTTTGTTTATCACTTGCTGATTGATGTACATTTGAGTTGTTTCTAGGTTTAAGGTATTGTGAATAATTTGCATATAGGGATTTACATGAACTTCCCTTGCTCCATTTTTTGGGGGTAAATTCTTAACAGAGGACTTTCTGGGTTGTATGTAAGAGAATATTTAAAATGATAAGAAACTGCCAAACTGTTTTCCAAAGTTGCTGTATCATTTTGCATCCCCACTAGCAAACTGAGAGTTTTGTGGTCCACATCCTCACTATCACTTGATACATTCAGTTGTCTATAATTTTTAAATTTTAGCCAATTTAGTTATATGTGTAGGGGCATCTCATTGTGGATTTAATTTACATTTTTCCAGTGAATAACAATGTTGATCATTTCATATGCTTACTGGCCACTTGCATATCTTCTTTGGTGAAGTGTTTGCTCAATGTTTCCCTACTTTAAAATTTTAAAGATTTAAAATTATTTTATATTCTGCTAATATTTTACAACTGAAGTTCACAAAACACTGAAAGGGTTAATTCAGACACACTCTCAGAAACTGCAGTCTCTGATAATCTATATATATTACTTACCAATAATTGGTACAGAGTTGTGATTATTGATTAAGAATCCTGAGAAAGAACTAGGACAAAGCACTTCTGAGCCTTTAGATAACTTATTTTCTTGGACTGGATTTGCCGAAGCAAAACTGATCTTTGGCTGTATGTTTTTGGTCATATGTCAAAGAATAATATCTTTAGGAGATAATTCCAAATATCCAGAAAAATGCTTATCTCAAAGTCTACTTCTGAACCTTTAAACTTGACCCAACCTCCCACATATCTTTTCCAGGCAATTACTTTGGCTTTCTCTAATTCATTCTATAGTCAGGATCTTAACCTTTTTTTTTTTTTCCTTTTCCCCAGCTTTCTTGAACTAATAGTATCTGTGAAACATGTTCTTGGAAAGCAAAGCAAACAAACCAACACACAGTTAACAAAAAGTTAACAATTTGATGAACAATATCATGGCAAATGTTAGAATACCATACCAGTAGTATGCTTCTGTTGTTTGTTTGCAGATCTAATGAAATCATAACATACGACTCTCAGAAAACAGCAATGTAAAGATGGCTTCTTAAAGATGTCCTAGACTTAACAGCAATAAGGTTCTAGGTAGGAGACTGGGTCCAATTGCTTTTTAATTTTTAATCCAATAAGATTTTATCTTTATTAGAAGGAATATTTTTTAAATGGTAGTTAAAAACAGGTAAGAAATAAGTGATTATTACACAACAGTGCAGTCTACAGTATGTGATGAACAACTCTCTCTTTTGACTTAACAGTCTGAATTAAAATACTATTTCATTAATCAATATGATATTTAAATCACCAAGTTAAAAATGATCACTGTGTGTTAAAATTTTCTCTGATGACACTTCACTATGCAGAATATGGTAATTACTTTGAGAAATCAGCTATTCCAAGGTAACTGGGCAGTTACAATATTTTATCAGGTAAATTACCAGTCACCATCAACATTCATCACAGACTCATTTGGATTTGCTTACAGATTGACATTTACTTATTTGCCCAACTTTTAAAGTTACAACTGTTACATGATTGCCCCAGGGTGCAACTGTAGAAAATTAGCACACTAATTACATTAATTATCATAAATAAAAGGTTATCAAAGAGTAGCATGTAATAACATAGCATTTTTTAAAAGCAACTTAGGGCATCACTATAATACCTTACATTTAGGTATTACATTGAAATTTTCAAGACTGCTTTACCTCTATAGTTTTAATCTTTAACACCTCAGCTATAGGAATGTTATTATTAATGCCATTTCAGAAATGAAGAAGCCGCAGCCAAACAGCTGTATGATTGCCCTAAGATCATATACAGCTGGAACATTTTAAGGTCAAGTCAAAAACCACATTTCCTAAACTTCCAACATTCCATTTTTTGCCCCTATATTTTTCTGCCTTTTAGGGATGAAAAATAAAATATTTATCTTTTATGCGCCAATGTATCAATACTTTAAGTGAACTAAAGATCCAAAAGTGAGTCTGATCTGCTTGCTTCTTCCCACCTCTATTGCTACCGACCTAGTCAAGCAAACATCATCTTTCCTCTCATGTACCTGTAACAACTCCCTTCCTTCTTGCCCCATAAAAATCCATATTATACAGAGAAAGCCAACTGAGTTTTAAAATATAAATGAGATCATGCCATTTTTTTTTGCTTAAAATGATCTGTGGATTCTCAACATACTAGAATAAAATCTAAATCACCAAGTCCTATAAAATTCATGTAATCTGAACCCCTCTCCCATTTCATCTCCTATCACTCTGTATCTCCTCATTATTCTGCTTTTTTTTTTGTCTGATTGTTGAGCCTATTGTCAAGATTGAGCCTGCCTCTGAGTCTTTGTTCTTCTATTTTACTCTGTTTGTAATGTTCTACCCCCAAGTTTCTGCAGAACTGGTTTCAAATTCCTACTCCTCAAAGAGATTTTCTTAAATAACTGAACCTAAACTGACCTTTCCTCTTTCTCCTTCTTTCTTACAGCCTATCCTCTAGTCATTCCTTATCACATTCTATTTTATTTTTATGCCATTTTTCTTTGCTTTCAGAAGTTGTCAACTCCCACACCTTAGAAATCCACAGAAGAGTTTGTGTATCTTGATTACTACCTGTAACAGAAGCTATGCATTCTTCACTCCTATCTCTAAAGGCTGCTCTGGAAATCACCTGCAACTTCAGTTGATGGTTCTCATATATTCTAAAGAGCTTTGTATCTCAACATCTCTCAGCCTGAGGCCATTCTCTGAGTATTCTTCCTAGCACACAAGAAATGCCAGGAAGTTAATGGCTCAAGGTATTAGGATGGTGCAAAATTAACTGTGGGTTTTGCTATTAATACAACCTTTAGTCCATAGATAAAATCAGAAAATTACTATGTACATGGCTCCTTCATTCCTCAGGTGGCCAATTATAAAGGTGTGTTTGACATCTTTCACAGTCTCCAGCATGACTGAACCCTAGTTGCACACAGTAGAAACCAGCTTATTCATGTGCACTTCATTGCCTTTCATTTCTCTATTTTGTTGTTAAATAAAACAAAATCACACCCACTTCCCTTTCCCCAGTGCCTGATTGGACTCATCATACATACTATTGTCCTCTTCCCTGCTCTTTGTTTTCACCATTTTCCTTCCCCACTGACTTGTCTTGTCTCCACTGATAATCTTTCTAGAACTTCCTTCTCTAAGCCATATGCTTTTATCTCTCACCAATGTCCTGGATCACTGTCTTGAAGGTGGTTATCTCCACACGCCCTTTTTGTCTCCAAGTTTCAATAACTAATACTGCCCTTCATCCCTTCAGACCTAGAGAAGGTAACAGTTGCAGGGTACATACAGAATTATCCCTTTTGGTTTATCTATACACTATCCACAGCTTTTTAATTGCTCTTTTATTATATTCTATTCAAGTTAAACAACTTAAGTGTATTGTACATTTTCCCTAGTACACTGATAGGTACCATTTGTACATTCAGGTTTTAGTGTATATTCAAAGAGCGATTTTCCTTTCTTTTTTCCTATGAGATTTTTCACTTATTTCTTGAAATTGGCTTAAAGAATACAGCATATCCAGGTTTTAGGGGAAAAGAGACCCAGCACTAAAAACAATAATACGTTGCTATGCACTAAATTGACAAGAACAATTTTTCTTTATCTATTTCTGCTTCTTTTTTAATTCCTAGAGAAACCACTTTTTGTCTGATTTCTTTCTTCAGAAACCTTATTTTTGTTATAGCTCAAAGCAAACTTCTTGGGCTTCTCTTTTGGAGGCAAACCTTCTCTTTGGAGTAGCATAAAGACATTGTACTCTTATTTACTTCTCTTCAGTTTTATTTTATTTTATGAGGAATTAAATGTATAGAGTGAAATATACACATATTAAAGGTATAAACCCATGTGACACACATCTTAATCTGAACACAAAAGATTTCTTTCACCTCATAAACTTCTCTCATGCCCCTTTCCAGTCAGTATTGCTGCAACATAAGGCAACTGGTGATTTGGTTTCTATCACCATAAGTTAGTTCTGCCAGTTCTTGAGTTTCATATAAATGAAACCATAGCACATGTAATCTTTGGGTCTAGCTTCTGGCACTCAGTGTAAAGTTTTTGAAATTTGTCTGTTGCTGTGTGTCCTGATAGTTTGTTCTCTTTTGTTACTGAACAGTGTTGAGTAAAAGAGTCAAACTCTGTAAGATATTTGAAGAGATTTATTCTGAGCAAAATATGAGTGACCATGGCCTGTGACACAGCCCTGCTCAGGAGACCCTGAGAAAATATTCCCAAGGTGGTTGGGGTTCAGGTTGATTTTATACATTTTAGAGTGTTAAAACACACTAAATATGGCCTGAGAAGGACTCCATACTTCTATATTTGAATCTTTGTGTACAAACTGCAACCTAACTTACTAGGTAGGCAAGATTGAAAAATCTAACTTAGGAGTATGCACTTGTAACAATAGCTGAGTGTTGGCCAATCCCAGCAGCCATACTTCTACCACTCTTACACTACTGAGTGTTCAAACTGTGTTCAACTAAGGCAAATGCTAAGCTGTAACCAATTCAGTTGTTTCTGAACCTCACCTCCAATTTCTGTACCTCATTTCCCTTTTTATGTCTATAAATCTTTCACCACGTGGCTGTGCTGAAATCTCTCTGAATCTGCTGTGATTCCAGGGACTGCCCTATTCATGAATTGTTGATCGCTGAATTGAATTTCTTTAAATTTAATTCAGCTGAAGTTTTTCTTTTAACAGATGGTGTCAGAAGTGGGATCTGAAGTAGAGCCTTAACAATCCCCAAGAGTGCTGAGTGAACAAGCAAGGTACCTGCAAGGACCTACTTTTGTCCTTTGATCTCTCAAAGTGGCTGGGGATCATGGGTAAGTTCTCTCAGATTTCAGAACTCCATAGATTTATGTTTGGAATTCTCTGAGTTTCTCTGAACAAATTTGTGATCCAAACAGTTTGAAAGTCAGGACAGAAACTGAACTAGGTCCAGGACCAGATTTGATCTGGTAATTAACTGACTTGGATACTGCTGGAGGCCTCTCTCTCTCTGTGTTTTTTTTTTGTTTTTGTTTTTGTTTTTGAGATGGAGTCTTGCTCTGTCACCCAGGCTGGAGTAGAGGGGCGTGATCTAGGCTCACTGCAACCTCTGCCTCCTGGGTTCAAGAAATTCTCCTGCCTCAGCCTCCCGAGGAGCTGGGATTACAGGTACCCACCACCATACCCAGCTAATTTTTGTATTTTTAGTTGAAACGTGGTTTCACCATGTTGGCCAGGCTCGTCTTGAACTCCTGACCTCAAGTGATCTACCCACCTAGGCCTCCCGAATTGCTGGTATTATAGACGTGAGCCACCATGCCTTTCCCAGTTAGAGGCCTCTTACCTTAGGCTGAAACAGAAAGAAAATGTTAGTAAATGGTAATATTGCAGTGGTTGTAAAATTTGGCTTTTAGAAATGTACAGGGATTCTTGAGTTCTACCCCTTCATTTCATTTTTCTTGTGTACTTAGGTAGAAAAAAATTATTGGCTAAGTCAATCAAGGGAACCTAAGAGTAAAGCCAATATCTTAGGTAAAAATGGGATCCTTAATTTTTGAAAGTCTGAGTTTCTTCCATCTTTTTATTTTTTATTTTATTTATTTATTCACTATTATTATTATTATTTTGAGATGGAGTCTCTCTCTGTCACCCAGGCTGGAGTGCAGTTGCTCAATCTCAGCTCACTGCAAGCTCCGCCTCCCAGGCTCAAGGGATTCTCCTGCCTCAGCCTCCCAAGTAGCTGGGATTACAGATGCGTGCCACCACGCCCAGATAATGTTTTGGATTTTTAGTAGAGATGGGTTTTCACCGTGTTAGCCACGATGGTCTCAATCTCCTGACCTCGTGATCTGCCCGCCTTGGCCTCCCAAAATGCTGGGATTACAGGTGTGAGCCACTGCGCCCAGCCTAAAGAAACAGAATTTTATTAATTTATCAGCTGATTTAGCATTACAGTGGCTTACGAAGCATTTGCCATTGTTTGAGGTTGCAGTGAGGACAACATGAAACACCTGATGAAAAACCTTCACAAAACCTGGTCTCTTTCCAACAGCTTAGCTATGTGAGAATAGCTTTTATAATATGACAACCCTAAAAATAAAACCATTTTAAAGTTAAAGCTGTCCTTCCAGTTGCTGTTTCAAACTTTATCCCAAGAACTGAGGTGTCGTTCAGTAAAAGGCAACTACGGGCTTCTCAGCAGTAAGGCTAAGTACTTGTTTTATGTTTTCTGGTGATGAATTTATTTCTTGTCTTTGAGTTTACAGTGACAGCTATAAAACTGATTGTCAATAATATTAGTATAATTTAATTTCTAATAGAATGTGTTTTCCATGTATGTTTTAGTCAGAGCTATGGTATTCTTAATAATACCAGAACTTATTTTGTGCTCTGTGATGATGATATTAGTGATCTGTATTCTCAGCAGTATTTTACAGTGCTTCAGACTATTAATACACTAATCTGTGTTTTTGGCTGGGTGCTGTGGTGCACGCCTGTAATTCCAGAACTTTTGGAGGCTGAGACGGGTGGATCACTCAAGCTCAGAAGTTCGAGACAAGCCTGAGCAACATTGTGAAACCACCTCTTTACTAAAAATACAAAAATTAGTTGGGCGTGGTGGTGGGCACCTGTAATCCCTTCTACTTGGGAGGCTGAGACAGGAGAATCGTTTGAACCCGGGAGGCGGAGGTTGCAGTGAGCTGAGATTGCACCATTGCACTGCAGCCTGGGCAACAAGATGGAAATTCCATCTCAAAGGAAAAAAAAAAAGAGTAAATAGTAAGATCCAGCATGGTGGTTCATGCCTGTAATCCTAGCACTTTGGGAGGCTGAGGTGGGTGGATCACCTGAGGTTGGGAGTTTGAGACCAGCCTGACCAACATGGAGAAACCCCATCTCTACTAAAAATACAAAATTAGCCAGGCTAGGTGGTGCATGCCTGTAATCCCAGCTACCGGGGAGGATGAGGTAGGAGAATTGCTTGAGCCCGGGAAGTGGAGGTTGCAGTGAGCCATGATCACGCCATTGCACTCCAGCCTGGGCAACAAGAGCGAAACTACGTCTCAAAATAAAATAAAATAAATAAAATAAAGAGAGAATAATATTCCTTTGTGTGTGTGTGTGTGTGTGTGTGTGTGTGTGTGTATGGATATATATATATATAAAATCACATTTTCTTTATCCATTCATCCAATGCTGACCTCCTAGGTTGCTTTCATATCTTAGCTATTATGGATAATGCTGCAGTGAATATGGTAGTGCAATTGTCTCTTCAATATGCTGATTTCAATTCCTTTAGCTATACACCCACAGGTGGGATTGCTGGAACATACAGTAATTCTATTTTTAATTTCTGATGAATCTCCATGTTATTTTCCTTAATGACTCTATTCATTTACGTTGGGAAATATAATTACTTTTTATTTTTTTGAGACGGAGTCTTGCTCTGTTGCCCAGGCTGGAGTGCAGTGGTGTGATCTAGGCTCACTGCAAGCTCCACCTTCAGGGTTCACACCATTCTCCTGCCTCAGCCTCCCAAGTCACTGGGACTACAGATGCCTGCCACATGCCTGGCTAATATTTTTTGCATTTTTAGTAGAACAATGTTGGGAATGGACTGGTTTATTCAATAAATCGTGTTAGGTACATTGACTAATAGTGTGTAGGATTGAAGTTATATTTACCGAATTCTTTACATTAAGGTATAGTCAAAACAGACTGAATAATTAAATGTAAAAATGATCTGGAGAAAACCTTGTTTTGTTTTGTTTTTTGAGATGGAGTCTCACTCTGTCATCCAGGCTGGAGTGTAGTGGGGTGATTTTGACTGACTGCAACCTCAGTTTCCCAGGTTCAAGTGATACTCCTGCCTCAGCCTTCCAAGTAGCTGGGATTACAGGCATGTGCCACCACACTGAAATAACTGTATATGTTTTAAAATAGGAATAGATTTTCTAAGCTAAACTGAAGATAAATGCTAAGGAAATAGTGAGATTTGACTTGATATTTATGTGTCTGAATGAATCAGCCAATTAATAAAATGAAAACAGGCCAGGGGCAGTGGTGCATGCCTGTAATCTGAGCACTTTGGGAGGCTGAGGTGGGTGGATCACTTGATGTCAGGAGTTCAAGACCAATCTGACAAACATGGTGAAACCCCATCTCTACTAAATACAAAAAAGTAGCTTGTAGTGGTGGCACATACCTCTAATCCCAGTTACTTGGGAGGCTGAGGCAGGAGAATCACTTGAACCTGGAAGGTGGAGGTTGCAATGAGCTGAGGTCACGCTATTGCACTCCAGCCTGGGCAACAAGAGCAAAACCCTGTCTCAAAAAAAAAAAAAAAAAAAGAAAAGAAAATCACTGCCCCACCAACTTTTTCACATAGAATTATTAAGGATGCCAGAGCCCATGCTACCTCTCAAGCCTCCTACCCCTCCCACACCACACATATATCTTGACAGGGCTAGTTACAGAGAAGAAAAGGCCCAATAAATTAATATCACAATCATTGCCACATACCCACCAAAAGGCTCAAATTAAAATTTTGACAAAATTAAGTGTCAACAAGAGTACAAATATTTGGGAATTATCAGACATTGTAAGACTGTCAGTTGGTGTGTTAACATTGGGATGAAACCAGTAATAGCTAGTAAAATGGAAGATATGTTTACCCTGTAACCTATGGTTTCACCTCTTGTTTTATACTGTTCACTATACACACTAATGGTAACCAAATAGAAATACACAAATGTTCACAACAGTATCATTTGTAACTGACAAAAATGAACACAACCCACATGTCCACCAACAATGAAGGGATACACAATGGTGTACTGTATTTTTATTTTTATTTTTATTTTTGAGATGAGGTCTATGCTTAGTCCCTCAGGTTGGAGTGTAGGGCGTGATCTCGGCTCACTGCAATCTCTGCCTCCCAGGTTCAAGCAATTCTCCTGTCTCAGCCTCCCGAGTAGCTGGTCTTACTGATGGGTGCCGCCACTCCCAACAAATTTTTGTATTATTGGTAGAGACAGGGTTTCACCTTGTTGGTAAGGCTGGTCTCAAACTCCTGACGTGAGGTAATCCACCTGTCTCAGCCTCCCAAAGTGCTGGGATTACAGGTGGGAGCCACCACGCCCGGCCTTTTTTTTTTTTTTTTTTTTTTTTGAGACTGAGTCTCACTCTGTTGTCCAGGTTGGAGTACAGGGTGCAATCTTGGCTCACTGCAACCTCCACCACCTCCCAAGTTCAACTGATTCTCCTGCCTCAGCCTCCTGAGTAATTGGGATTACAGGCACCCACCACCACGCCCAGCCATTTTTTTTTTTTTTAACAGAGTCTAGTTCTGTCACCCAGGCTGGAGTGCAGTGGTGCAAACTTGGTTCACTGCAACCTCCACCTTCCAGATTCAAGTGATTCTTCAGCCTCAGCCTCCCGAGTAGCTAGGACTACAGGCACATGCCAGCACGCCCAGCTAATTTTTTGTATTTTTAGTAGAGATTTGGTTTCACCGTGTTCACCAGGATGGTCTCGATCTCCTGACCTCATGATCCGCCTGCCTCAGCCTCTCAAAGTGCTGAGATGACAGGCATTAGCCACTGCATGGCCTAATTTTTGTAGTTTTAGTAGAGATGGGGCTTCACCATGTTGGCTAGGGTGGTCTGGAACTCCTGAACTCAAATGATCTGCCTGCCTCGGCCTCCCAAAGTGCTGGGATTATAGACATGAGCCATCGTGCCTGTCTAGTGTACCATTTTAATAGAATGCAGAAACAATGCTAAGTGTGAATATTAAATACTTAATATTCAGTAAAAGGAGCCAGATGCAGCAGGATACAGACTTTTACTCCAATTATGTAAGAGAAAAAACAGGCAAAACCAGACTTTACTTTAGGCTTTTAAAAAATGCATAATAAGGCCAGGCACTGAGATCAGGAGTTCGAGACTAGCCTGACCAACATGTAAAACCCCGTCTCTACTAAAAATACAAAAATTAGCCAGGTGTGGTGGCACATAGCCCATGCTTGTAATACCAGCTATTTGGGAGATTGAGGCATGAGAATCACTTGAATCTGGGAGCCGGAGGTTGCAATGAGTCAAGATCATGCCACTACACTCCAGCCTGGGTGACAGAGCAAGGCTCCATCTCTAAAAAAAAAAAAAAAAAAAGGAAAGAAATAAAAAAACACATAATAAAATTATAAAGAGAACCAAGGAGAGAAATGCAGATATCCACAGGTAATGTGGGTATCTGTTATATCTGTTACTAATAAGGGAAGGAAGACTTTAGGATCAGTTAGGGGCATACAGAGGACTTCTCGGTGGTGAGTGCTCTATTTCTTCACTTGGATAGGTATCACACAGATGTTTATTAAATCACTGATGTATCCATATATTTGTTTGCATATTTCACAATAAGAATAAAATAGAGGAAAGGAAGGTGAATGGAAAGAGATTTCTCCATTCATCAAAATTTTAAAGTCATGTTTTTCCTCAGGTTCTTCTCTAAGTTCAGTCTGAAATGGTGAAAGCAGCCAAGTGCGGTGGCTCACGCCTATAATCTCAGGACTTTTGGGAGGTAACAGAGTGAGACTCTGCCTAAAAAAAAAAAAAAAAATAGAGAACAACAGAGTGGTTATCAAGTAGAGAGGAAGGGAGGAAATAAGGACATGTGGGTCAGAGATACACAGTAGCAGATATATAGGATGAACAATCCTCTACATCTATATACAACATGAGGACTATAGGTAATAAAATTGTACTGTATATGGGACTCATGCTAAATAAGATTTTACCTTCCTTTGCCACACCAAAAAATGTGGGTATCTGTGATAGATATGGTAATTTGCTTCACTATAGTAACCTTTTTCCTATGTATATGTATTCTATAACATCATATGTGTACCTTAAATATATACAATAAAATTTATTTTAAAGAGAAAAAAATGGCCAGGTGTGGTAGTTCACGCTGGTAATCCCAAAACTTTGGGAGGCCGAGGCGGGCAGATCACGAGGTCAGGAGTTTGAGACCAGCCTGGCCAACATGGTGAAACCCCATCTCCACTAAAAACATACACAAAAAATTAGCCAGGTGTGGTGGCACACACCTGTAATCTTAGCTACTCAGGCAGTTGAATTGCTTGAACATAGGAGGCAGCTGTTGCAGTAAGATGAGATCTCACCATTGCACTCCAGCCTGGGTGACAGGCCGAGACTCCACCTCAAAAAAAAAAAAAATTATATATATATATATATATATATATATATATATATATATATATGTATACATATGTGTATATATGTATATATACACATATATATACGTGTATATGTATATATATGTATATATATATACACGTATATATATACCTGTATATATACACGTATATATGCATATATATACGTGTATATATATACACGTATATATCTATACATGTATATATATACGTATATATATGTGTGTGTATATATATATAGAGAGAGAGAGAGAGAAAATTTATGAAAGTATGCACCACAAAATTAAAATGTTGACTCTAAAGTGAGCTACCGAGTGAGTGGGGTGCATGAGAGAAAAGGTTACTTAACATTTTTATACCTATTGAATTGTATCCTATGTATGCATTATAAATTTAAATGTGCAATAATGCAGATAACTGAAATGTGGGTATGCTTTGATTAGGACTTTGCATTTCCCATTTGCTCAAATTCCTTATGATTCTAGATGCATATGAATAGAAATACAAAATGTAAGGAGACACGGGACTTCTGATAGCCCTTTCTTCTTTCCACATTTTGTGTCTCTGGCTGTAGTTTGCCATATGAGTCCATATGGCTAATGAGTAAAATATTTTTCAGATGGATACATGTGACCAAGCATTGCAAGTTAAAGATATTTCTGAATCTTGGACCTCTTATTTACAGTGAAGGCCCCTCATGCATAATAAAGCAGAGAAGAATGTAAAAGGTTGCTACATCAATAATCAATTTCTGGTGAGCATAATTATAGGTAATGTAAAATGAGACAATATTGCTTTTCATCATTTCTTGAAAGAACTCTTACAGTCCATGATTTTGAAAAAAGAAATCTAAGTTCACTCTTTCTTTTCTATAACAAAAAGTCATTATCCAGTAGAAGTTCAAGAGTAAAATCTGAAGGCAGCTTATCTGACGTGGGCACATGTTCTTGCCACTTGTTAAATATAACTTTCTAACACTAACTTCTCCAGACCTCAGATTTTCAACTCTCTAAAATGGAAAACTCTAGAACTGCAGCTGAACTGAGCATTTTAGGGAAGAAACAAACATACACACGATATATATATAGTCAGATTATGAACCCAGTGTAGCCCAGTATGCAAAAATTTCTCAGTAACAGAGATCCCCAAGAGAAAAATATGATTTAGCCTATCTCAGTGGCCTTTCATGTGGCAAATTAAAAGTTAAAGTCCATAATGAGAAATATATGGGCAGCCAGTGACACCATCCATTTAATGTAGACTTTCAACATCTCTGACAGTCATTCTCTGTTGTACCCCAACCTGCTTATATATTGGGGTGATATCACCTTTTGATCATAACATACATAAACCTCAACCTCAATAAGAAATATTTATGGACAACCAGATATTCTGTGTTTCCAGTCAAAACTCAGGTAGATCACATTTTATGTGACAGGAGAAGGCACAGTCGATGCCCAGTTAACCCGGAGATCATCTCTGCCTGCAGCTTCCTATCATCATAGCAAGCTCTTTCCCTGCAGTCCACCGTCTGTATCTGCCCTTTGCTATATAGATAGCAGAAATAAGCATCTGAAAAGATGCTCAACACCATATGTCACTAGGGAGTTCAAATTAAAACAATGATGAGATACCACTACATATCTATTAGACTGGCTCAAATCCAAACGCTGACACCATCAAATGCTGATGAGGATATGGAGCAAAAGGAACTCTCATTGATTGCTGCTGGGAATGCCAAATGGTAAAGCCACCGTGTAAGGCAGTTTTGCAAATTCCTGCAAAACTAAACATACGCTTACCATATGATCTGGCAATTGCATTCTTTGGTATATACTCAACTGACTTGAAAACTTATATCCACTCAAATTCTGCACATGAATATTTATAGCAGTTTATAGATAACCAACAAAGATTGGAAGTAACCAAGATATCCTACAATAGGGAAATGGATAAACTAACTGTGAAACATTCATGCAATGGTATATTCTTCAGGAATAAAAAGAAGTGAACTACCAAGGCATGACAAGACATGGAGGAATCTTAAACACGTATTTCTAAGTGAAAGAAGCCAATGCAAAAAGGCCACATAGTGTAGAGTTCCAATTATACGGAATACTAGAAAAGGCAAAACTAGGCAGATCGTATTATAAGAAGTTCAGTGGTTGCCAGGGGCTTGAGCAGAGGGAAGGATGAATAGGTGGAACACAGAAGATTTTTAGGGCAGTGACATTTTTCTGTGTGACCCTATAATGGTGGATATGTGTGCTTAAGCATTTGTCAAAGCCCAAAAGTGGTAGAACACAAAGAGCAAATCTTAATTTAAGCCATGAACTTAATAATAACAATATTGGCTCATCAAGCATAACAAATGTACCACACTAACAAGATGATAATAGAGGAAGTGTATGTACTGTGGTGTGAGGCAGATATTAGAGCTCAATATGCCTTCTGCTCTATTTTTCTGTACACCTACAACTGTTCTAAAAATTAAGTCAATTATTTATTTGTTAATTATTATTTCTTAATTTATTTTTCGAGATGGAGTCTCACTCTGTTGCCCAGGCTGGAGTGCAACAGCACGATCTTGGCTTACTGCAACCTCTGCCTCCCGGGTTCAAGCGATTCTGCTGCCTCAGCCTCCTGAGTAGCTGGAATTACAGACACCCGCCACCATGCCTGGCTAATTTTTTATATTTTTAGTAGAGATGGGGTTTCACCGTGTTAGCCAGGAAGGTCTTAATCTGCTGACCTCGTGGTCCACCCACCTTGCCCTCCCAAAGTGCTTGGATTACTGGCATGAGAGATTGCACCAGGTCTTATTTATCTTTTTGAGACAGGGTTTACCTCTGTCACTCAGGCTGGAGTGCAGTGGTGCAATCATGGCTCAATGCAGCCCCAACCTCCAGGGCTCAAGTAACCCTCCCCACCTCAGCTTCCTGAGCAGCTGGGACCACAAGCGTGTGCCACCATACCTGGCACATTTCTTAGACCTCTGAAAAGATGCTCAACACCATATGTCACCAGGAATATTCAGTATTCAACTAGAGGCTTCAATGGGCTCTGAAATATCCCCTCCTGAACTCTATAAACAGCGTATTTCCAACTGGCTGAATGAAAACAAAGATTTACATCTGTGAGATGAATTCACACATCAGAAAGCATTTTCACCAAGAACTTTTCTAGTTTTATAGCAGGATGTTCATTTTTTCAATATTGGTCTCAATGGGCTCCAAAATGTCCCTTTGTACAGTCTACAAAAATTTTTGCCAACGTACTGAATCAAAAAAATGTTTAACAGTGTGAGATGAATTTTCACATCACCAAAGGTTTTTACAGATAGTTTGTATCTAGTTTTTAATCACAAAACTTTGAATTTTTCACTATAAGCCTCAAAGGGCTCTAAATTGTCCCCTCTTAGCTTCTACTAAAAGAGAGTTTTGAACCTACTGTGTAGAAACAAAAGTTTAACTCTGTGAAATAAATCCCCACATTGCAAAGCTATTTCACAGATAGCTTGCTTCTAGTTTTTATCACGAATTATTCGGCTTTTCACTATAGGCCTCAATGGGCTCCGAAATGTCCCTTCATACATTCTACAAAAAGAGTGTTTCCAACTTAGCTGAATCAAAAGAAAGTTTAAACTGTATGTGATGATACCACAAATTGCAAAGCATTTTCACATATAGCTTCCATAGTTTCTATCATATAATATTCAGTTTTTCACTATAGGCCTCCATGGGCTATGAAATGTCCCCTCATAGGTTCTACAAAAAGGTGTTTCCAACATGCTGAAAGAAAGCAAATATTTAACTTTGTGAGATGAACCCACACATCACAAAGCATTTTTATAGATAGATTTTCTCTAGTTTTTATTGCGGAATATTCGATTTCATGCTATAGGCCTCAATTTGCTCCAAAATTTCCCCTTGTAGATTCTACAAAAAGAATATTTCCAACCTGCTGAATCAAAACAAATGTTCAATTCTGTGAGATGATATGTAAAGCTCTTTCACAGATATCCTTTTTCTAGTTTTTATCCTGGGGTATTTGGTTTTTCACTATAAGCATCAATGGGCTCTGAAATGTCCCTTTGTAGATTCTACAAAAAGAGTGTTTCCAACCTGTTGAATCAAAACAAAGTTTTAACTTTGTGAGATGAACCCACACATCACAAAGCATTTTCACCCATAGCTTGTTTCTAATTTTTACCATGGGTTATTTAGTTTTTCACTAAATGCCTCAATGGACTATGAATTGTTGCCTTGTAGATCGTACAACCAAAGAGTTTCCAACCTGCTGAAGCAAAATACAGGTTTAACTTTGTAAGATGAATCTGCACATTGCAAAGCATTTTTACAGATAGGTTGCTTTGAGTTTTTATCAAGAGATATTTGATTTTTCACTGTATGCTTCAATGGGTTATGAAATCTCCCCTTGGACATTCTACAAATAAAGTTTCCAAACTGATGAATCAAAAGAAAAGTTCAACTTTTGAGATGAAATCACACATCACAAAGTATTTTCAGAAATACCTTCTTTATAGTATTTATCGCAGGATATTAGATTTTCCAATATTAGCCTCAATGAGCTCTGAAATGTCCCTTTGTAGGTTGTACAAAATGAGTGTTTCCAACCTATGGAATAAAAAGGAAGGCTTAACTCTGTGAGATAAATCCACACATCACAAAGCATCTTCACAGATGGCTTGTTTCTAATTTTTATTGTGGGATATTCGGTTTTTCACTAAAGGCCTCAAGTGCTCTGAAATGTCCCTTTGTAGATTCTATAACAAGAGTGTTTTAAAACTGCTGAATCAAAACAAACGTGTAACTCTTTGAGAGGAATCCACACATCACAAAGCATATTTTCAGATCACTTGTTTCTAGTTTTTAAAGCATGATATTCGGTTTTTCACTATATGCCTCATCGGGCTCAGTAATGTCTCATAGTAGATTTTACAAAAATAGTGTTTCCTACCTGCTGAATCAAAACAACAGTTTAAATCTGTGAGATGACTCCAAACCTCACAAAGCATTTTCACAGATAGTTTTTTCCTAGTTTTTACCGCAGGATATTCAGTTTTTCAATATAGGCCTCAATGAACTCTGAAATGTCCATTCATAGGTTCTATAAAAGTGTATTCCCAACTCCCAGTATAAAAGCAAAGGTTTAACTCTGTGAAATGAATCTACGCATTGGAAAGCACACAAATAGTTTGTTTTTAGCTTTTATGGTGAGACATTTGATTTTTTACGATTGGCCTCAATGGGCTCAGAAATGTCTCTTTGCAGATTCTCCAAAAATTTTTTTTCATTTTTCTGAACAAAAATAAAGGTTTAACTCTTTGATATGAAATCACACATCACAAAGAATTTTCACAGATAGCTTGTTTCTAGGGTTCATCACTGGATATCGGGTTTTTCACTATAAGCTTCAATGGAGTGTTAATTGTAACTCAATTCTACAAAAGGAGTGTCCCCCAACCTGCTGTATGTAAATAAAGGTTTACCTCTGTGAGGTAAATCTTCACATTGCAAAGCATTTTCCCCGATAGCTTGTTTCTAGTTTTTATCTCGGGATATTGATTTTTCACTATAGGCTTCAATGGGCTTTGAAAGATTCCTCTGTAGATTCTACAAAAAGGGTGTTTTAACCTGCTGAATCAAAACAACGTTTAACTTTTTGAGATAAATCCACACATTACAAAGATAGGTGTTTTTTTTTGTTTTTTTTTTTTTTTTTTAGATGAAGCCTCACTCAGTCACCCAGGCTGGAGTGCAGTGACGCGATCTCGGCTTCCCAGTTTCATGCCATTCTCCTGCCTCAGCCTCCCAAGTTGCTGGGACTACAGGCGCCCGCCACCAGGCCAGGCTAATTTTTTGTGTTTTCAGTAGAGACGGGGTTTCACTGTGTTAGCCAGGATGGTCTCGATCTCCTGACCTCGTGATCCACCCGCCTCAGCCTCCCAAAGTGCTGGGACTACAGGCATGAGCCACCACGCCTGGACAATAGCTTTTTTTACTTTTATTGTGGGATATTGGTTTTTCACTACAGGCTAATATTGGCTTCAAATTGTACCCTCATAGATTCTACAAGCAGTGAGTTTTCTAGCATCTGAAGCAAAATAAAGGTTTAACTTTGTAAGATGAATCTGCACATTATTGCTGGATATTCGGTTTTTCACTGTGGGCATCAATTTGCTCTGAAATGTCCTATTGAAGATTTTACCAAAAGAGTGTTTCCATCCTGCTGAATCAAAAGAATGGTTTAATTCTGTGAGATGAAATTATCCATCATAAATAATTTTCAGAGACAGCTTCATATAGTTTTTATCTCAGAATATTCAGTTTTTCACTATAAGCCTCAATGGGCTTTGAAATGCCTCCTCATAAATTGTACAAAAAAAAAAAAAAAGGAGTTTCCAACCTGTTTAATCAAAACAAATATTTAATGTTGTGAGATAAATTCAAATATTGCAAAGCATTTTCACAGATTTTTTTTCTAGTTTTTATCATGGAATATTTGGTTTTTCACTATAGTCTTCAGTGGGCTCAGAAATGTCCTTTGTAGATTCTACAAAAAGAATGTTTCTACCTTGCTGAACCAAAGCAAAACTTCAACTCTTTAAGGTGAATCCACACATTGCAAACATTTTCACAGATAGCTTGTTTTTAGTTTTGATCACGGAATGTTGGATATTTTACCATAGGCCTCAATGGGTTCAGAATTTTCCCCTCTTAGATTCTACTAAGAGTGTTTCCAAAATGCTGTATAAAAATGAAGGCTTAGCACTGTGAGATGAATCGACACATCACAAAACATTTTTACGAGTAACTTGTTTTTACTTTTTGTCGCGAGATATTCAGTTTTTCAATATTTTCCTCCATGGGCTCTGAAATGTCACTTCATGGATTCTATGAAAAGACTGTATGCAACTGACTGAATCAAGACAAAGGCATAACTCTGTTCAAGAAATCCTTACATCACAAAGCATTTTCACTGATAGCTTGTTTCTAGTTTTTATCATGGGATAATTGGTTTTTGACTATAGGCCTCAATGGGCTTCAAAATGTCCCTTCGTAGATTCTACAAAAAGAGTGCTTCAATCCTGCTCAATCAAAGCAAAGGTTTAATTCTTTGAAATGAATCCATACATCACAAATCATTTTCCAATATAGCTTGTTTCTAGTTTTTATTGTGGGATATTTGGTTTTTTACTTTAGACCTCAATGGGCTCTAAAATGTGCCTTCTTAGATTCTACGAAGAGTGTTTCTCACCTGATAAATCAAAACAATGGTTTAAATTTGTGAGATAAGTCCACACATTGCAAAGCATTTTTACCAATAGCTTGTTTCTAATTTTTATCATGGGATATTCAGTTTTTTCAGTGTAGGCCTCAATGGTCTCTGAAATGTCCCCTCGTAGATTCTACAAATAGAGTTGTTGCAACCTGATAAATCAAACATTTAATTCTGTGAGATAAATCTATAAATCTACACATCTCAAAGCATTTTCACAGATAGCTTGTTTCTGGTTTTTATCACAGGATATTTGATTTTTCACCATAGACCTCAATAGGCTCTGAAATGTCCCCTCATGGAGTCTACAAAAAGAGTGTTTTCAACCTGCTGAATACAAACAAAGGTTTAACTCTCTGACATAAAATAACAAATCATAAAACATTTTCACAGTTGGCTTGTTTCTAGTTTTTATCACGCAATACTCAGTTTTTCATGACAGGGCACAATGGGCTCCAAAATGTCCCTTTGTACATTCTACAAAAAGAGTGATTTTGGTCTGCTGAATAAAAATAAAGGTTTTGTACTGTGAGAGGAATCCACACATAGGAAGGAATTTTCACAGATAGCTTGTGTCTAGTTTTCATTGCAGGATGTTCAGTTTTTTCATATACTTCTTGATGGGCTCTGAAATGTCCCTTCATAGACTCTACAAAGAGAGCATTTACAACCTGCTGAATAAAAACAAAGGTTTAACTCTGTGAGTTGAATCCAGACATTGCAAAGCATTCTATATATAGCTTGTTTCTAGTTTTTATCTTGAGATATAACATTTTTAACTTTAGGCCTTAGTGTTCTCTGAAATGTGCCATTTTAGTTTCTACAAAAAGAGTGTTTCAACCTGCTGAATTAAAACAAGTTTTAACTCTGTGATATGAATTGAAACATCACAAAGTGTTTTCACAGATAGTTTTTACTAGTTTTTGTCATAGGATTTTCAGTTTTTCACTAATGGCTTTCATGTACTCTGAAATGTCCCTATGTAGATTTTACAAAAAGAGTGTTTCCAACCTACTGAATCAAAACAAGTGTTTAAATCTGTGAGATATATCCATACATTGCAAAGCACTTTCACAGATTGCTAGTTTCTAGGTGTTATCATGAGATACTTGGTTTTTCACTATAGACCTCAACAGGCTCCCAAATGACTCTCATAGATTGTGCAAAAAGAGGGTTTTCAAAGTGCTGAATCAAAATAAAGATTTAACTTAGTAAGGTGAATCCACACATTGCAAAATATTTTCACAGATTGCTTGGTTTTGTTTGTTTGTTTTGTTTTTATCATGGGATATTTCATTTTTCACTATAGGCCTCAATGGGCACCAAAATGTCTTCTCCTAGATTCTACAAACTGACTGTTTCCAACTTGCTTAATCAAAAGAAAGGTTTAACTCTGTGATATGAATACACACATCCCAAAGGATTTTCACAGATAGCTTGTTTCTAGTTTACATCTCCTCGTATTTTGTTTTTCACTGTAGGTTTCAATGGGTTTTGAAATATTTCTTCGTAGATTGTGCAAAAAGAGTTTTTCAAATCTGCCAAATTAAAATGGATGTTTAACTCTTTGAGATGAATCCACACACTGAAAAGCATTTTCACAGATAGCTTGTTTCTAGTTTTTATCATGGGATATTCGGTCTTTCACTATAGTAGTACTCAATGGACTCTGAAATGGCCTTTAGTAGATTCTACAAAAAGAGTGTTTCCAACCTGCTGAATCAATACAAATGTTTAACTCTGTGAAAGGAATCCACACAATGCAAAGCATTTTCACAGATAGCTTGTTTGTAGTTTTTATTGCAGGATATTCAGTGTTTTACTGTATTTGTCCATGGGCTCCGAAATGTCCCTTCATATATTCTACAAAAATAGTGTTTTCAACCTGCTGAAAAAAATAACATATGTTTAACTCTGAGAGATGATTCCCCAAATCACAAGAACTTTTCACAGATAGCTTGTTTCTAGTTTTCATTGTGGGATATTTAACTTTTCACTATAGGTCTCAATGAGCTTTGTAATGTCCTTTTGTACAATCTGCAAAAAGAGGGTTTCCAGCCTGCTGAATCAAAACAAAGGCTTAACTCTGTGAGATAGATCCACACATTGCAAAACATTTTCACAGATATCTTGTTTCTACTTTTCATCGTAGGATACTCGCTTTTTCCAAATACTTCTCCAGGGGCTCCATATTGTCCCTTCGTAGATTCCACAAAAAGAGTGTTTCCAACTAGCTAAATCAAAACAAAGGTTTAACTCTGTGAGTTAAATCTACGCATTGCAAAGCATTTTCACAGATAGGCTGTTTCTCATTTTTATCACAGGATATTCAGTTTTTCACCATAGGCCTCAATGGGCACTAAAATGTCTTCTCATAGATTCTAAAAACAGACTGCTTTCAACCTGCTTAATCAAAATAAAGCTTTAACTCCATTATATGAATCCACACATTGGAAAACATTTTCACAGATAGCTCGTTTGTAGTTTTTTTCTCCACATATTTTGTTTTTCACTATAGGCTTCAATGGGCTTTGAAATATTTCTTTGTAGATTCTGCAAAAAGAGTTTTTCCAACCTGCATATTTAAAACACCGGTTTAACTCTGTGGCATGAATCCACAATGGCAACCATTTTCACAGATAGCTTTTTTCTTTTCTTTTTTTTTTTTCTGTGGGATATTTGGTCTTTCACTGTAGGTCTCAATGGGCTCTGAAATGGCCCTTCATAGATTCTACATAAAGAGTGTTTCCAACCTGCTGAATCAAAACAAATATTTAACTCTGGAAGATGAATCCACATATCACAAAGCATTTTCAGATATAAACTTTTATTGTTTTTATTGTGAAATATTCTGTTTTTTGCTATATGCATCAATGGGTGTGAAATATCCCTTCATATATTCTATAAAATAGTGTTTTCAACCTGCTGAATAAATGCAAAGATTTAAATCTGTGAGATGCACCCACACACTACAAAGCATTTTCAAAGACAGCTTGTTTCTACTTTTATCATGAGATATTTGGTATTTCACTATGGGCCTCAATGGGCTTCAAACTGTCCCTTTGCAGATTCTACACAAAGAGTGTTTCCAATCTGCTTAATCAAAAAATGATTAACTCTCTGAGATGAATCCACACATCACAAAGAATTTTTACTGATAGCTTGTTTCTGGATGTCATCGTGGGATAATCAGTTTTTCATCAACCTGCTGAATCACAAGAAAGATTTAACTCTGTGAGATGAAATCACACATTGCATATAACTTTCAGACACAGCTTTTTTTGTAGTTTTTATTACAGGACACTAAGTTTTTCACTACAGGCTTCAATGGGCTTTGAAATGTCCTTGTGTAGATTGTACAAAGAGAGTGTATCCAACCTGCTGAATGAAAACAATGTTTAATTCTTTGAGATGAATCCACACATCCCAAAGCATTTTTACAGATAGGTTGTTTCCATTTTTTATCATGAGATATTAGGGTTTTCACTATAGGTTTCAATGGGCTCTGAAATGTTTCTTCGTACATTCTAGAAAAGGATTGTTTCAATTCTGATTGAATTGAGTGTTCTGATTCTGCCGAATGAGAAGAAAGTTGTAACTCTGTTAGTTGGATCCACACATTGCAAAGCTTTTTCACAGATAGCTTGCTTCTAGTTTCTTTCATGGGATATTTGGTTTTTCACTATAGGCCTCAATGGGCTCCGAAATGTTTTTATGTAGAATCTACAAAAAGAGTGTTTCCAAACTGCTGAATTAAAACAAAGGTTTAAATATGTGACATTATTTCACATATCACAAAGCATTTTCACAGATAACTTGTTTGTAGTTTTTATCACGGGATATTCTGCTTCTCACTATAGGCCTCAGGGGTTCGAAATGTCTTTCCTTAGATTTACGGAAAACGTGTTTCTAGCCTGCTGAATGATAACAAATGTTTAACTCTGTGAGATGAATCCAGACACTGCCAGTCATTTTCACAGAGAGCTGTTTTCTAGTTTTGTGTGTGTGGGATATTCACTTTTTTACAATATGCCTCAAAGGTCTCAGAAATTCCCATTCATAGATTCAACAAAAAGAGTGTTTCCAAATTGCTAAATTAAAACAGAGGTTTAACTCTGTGAGATGAATCCAAACACTGCAAAGCATTTGGACAGATATCTTCTTTCTAGTTTTTATCGCAGGATAATTGATTTTTCATCATGGGCCTCAAAAGTCTTTGAAAATGCTTTTCATAGATTCTACAATAAAAGTGTTTTCAACCTGTTGAATCAAAGGTTTAACTCTAGGAGATGAATCAACACATCACAAACCATTTTCACTGATAGTTTATTCCTAGTTTATATCGCAGAATATTCAGTTTTTCACTATGTGCCCCAAAGGGCTCCAAAATGACCCTTCATAAATTCTACAAAAAGAGTGTTTCCAACATGCTAAATAAAAAAAAAAAGTTTAACTCTGCGAGAAGAATCCACACATCAGAAAACATTTTCACTGATAGCTTGTTTTTAGTTTTCAACGTGTAATATTTGTTTTCTGTGTTTTTTTTTTTTTTTTTTTTTTTTTTTTTTTTTTTTACTATAGGCCCCAATGAGCTCTGACATTTTTTCTTTTTAGATTCAATAAAAGGAGTGTTTCCAACTTATGGAATCAAAAGAAAGGTTTAAATTTGTAAGATGAATCCACACATCACAAAGCATATTCACAGATAGCAAGCTTCTAGTTTTTTTTCCGCAGGATATTCTGTTTTTCACTGTAGGCCTCAATGGGCTCTGAAATGTTTATTGGTAGATACTACAAAAAGACTGTTTTCAACCTGCTGAATCAAAAGAAAGGTATAACTCTTTGAGATGAGCCCACACATCCTAAAGCATTTTCACAAATAGCTTACTTCTAGTTTTTATCGGGAGACATTCTGTTTTTCACTATAGACCTCCATGGGCTCCGAAATGTCCCCTTGTAGATTCCGTAAAAAGAGTGTTTCCAAATTGCTGAATTAAAACAAAGGTTTAACAGTGTGCCATTATTTCACAGATCACAAAGCATTTTCACAGATAGCTTCTTTCTAGTTTTTATCGCAGGATATTTTGTTTTAAACTCCAGGCCTCGATGTGCTTCAAAATGTCTCATCTTAGATTCTACAAAAAATATGTTTCCAACGTGCTGAATCAAAACAAAAAGTTGGCTCTGTGAGATAATTCCATGCCCTCAAAGCATTTTGACAGATAGCTTGCATCAAGTTTTCATCGCGGGATATTCCATTTTTCTCTATAGGCATCAGTGGGCTCCAAAATGTCCCTTTGTAGATTCTAGGGTGAAAGTGTTTCTAAACTGCTGAATTAAAGATTTAGCTTCGTGAGATAAATCCAGACATCACAAAGCATTTCACTGATAGTTTGTTTCTAGTTTTTATCACAGGATAGTCAGTTTTGTACTATAGGCCTCAATTTGCTCTGTAATATCCCCTCTTAGATTCCAGAAAAGGAGAGTTTCCAGCCTACTGAATCACAAGAAATGTTTAACTCTGTGAGATAAAATCACACATTGGAAAGCATTTTCAGACATAGCTTCTTTGTAGTTTTTAATCGCGGGATATTTGGTGTTTCACTATAGGCCTCAATGGATTTTGAAATTTTCCCTCATAGGGACACAAAAAAAGTGTCTTTATCCTTCTGAATCAAAACAAAGTTTTAACTGTGAAAAGAAAATCCACACATAGCAAAGCATTTTTACCATATCTGCCAACAAGGAAACTCTGGTTCTCCCACTTTTATCAGAGGGCTACATGATTCCTGTAGGATGAGAAGCAGGCAGCGGTGTCTGGATTTGCCTGATCATCTAGGCTCTGTTACAATCATCTGCATGTTCTTTTTCATTGTGGAGGGGATCTTTTATTGATCTGTTGCTAGGGGGGACTGGCTCTCTCTACAGATCTTTTGGCTGCCAGGCATTTCAGGGAGCAAAAAGTACTTCGGGTAGGCTGGCCGCACTCCAGGTTTGAGTAGTAGTCTCACTGTGGGGGACTGGGGTGTTTGCAGGAGGCTTTTGGGTCCTCTGGCAGGAATCCTTGAACATGGCTTGGACTCTAGCACAGGCCCTCTCATTCTCCAAGCAAGCATTGATTTTCCATTGCTTTCATGAGGAGTCCATACTACTCTTCATCAGCGCTCCTAGACACACTTTTTTGGCTTGCAATTGCCTCAGACGGCCACGGAGACACTCTCTGAACTGCATCTGCACCCGTGAGGTCAGTTCGAAGTGTGAGACTCTGCTCCACCTTGAACTTGCCTTTGTCATGGTTCCTGCCTTTCCCAGAGAGCCATGTTGAGAAGCAGGAGCCCCTGTGAGGCCCAAGATGAAGGGAGGCAATGAGCTCAAGGGCCCTGCCATTTTCTGCTGACATCTGCCTCTGGGGTCTTGGGTATGATTTCATCACCTGGACACCCCTTAACATCTCAGCAGACTGTATTCCCTTCCCCCATGGGACCCAATTCTTGCACACAGCCTCTTTGGGGAATGGAATCAGAGGAACAGTTTCCAGCGCCCACATCACAGTCTCCAAGTGCCTCCCCCTCCAGCGGGACCTGACCATGAAGACGGCTGAAGGGGCCTGCCTAGAGGGTGTGGAGGTGAGTCTTTTTGAAATTTCCCCCACTCCATGATGTCTAGGTACAGCCCGCCTGTGTTCCCCAGGCTGCTCTCTCGCAAGAGGAGCTTCCTGCAGAAACACACAGCCTCTGAAGCTGCTGGGATGTGTGTTTCTGTGGGAGTGTTTCAAGTTGTGGATATCTGCGTGTGAGTGTGGTCATGTGAGTGTGTGTTTGTGTCTGTGTGTGGGGGTAAGTGGAGTCTGCTGAAAGAAATGTGGCTAACACAGTGCAGCAACGTTTTTGTCACCCCACCTTCCAGTGGCCTGTCTCTGTGGCTCTGCTTGGGCTGAGGGTCTCCATGTTCTTCATTTTTCCATGGCTCCTGAATCCACAGTGAATTGGAAGAATGGCTGACAACCGCCGGGGAGAAAATCACCTCCCCTTGACAAAAAGCCACATTTCCACAAAGAAGAGAAGCACACCACACCCCAAAACAGACAACTCCCTATGCTTTATTGTTCTGTGGCCAACCCAGGGCCAGACCCCAGGAGTCCTGTCGCATGGCTTCTTGAATTTACCTTGATTTTGGTTTGTAGCTGAGCAGGTGCTTCAGGTCATCAGGGAGGCACTCCTCCTTTGTCTCGGAATTTTATTCTGGGACACAGAGTGTGAGCAACAATAAGGTCAGATAGGGGTGAGGATACAATCTGTTGAGGTGTGGATGGGATCTCGCACCTTCACCTGCAAAAAAGGTGCAGACAGATGACACAGAAGTTGCTTCCAACTGCATCCCCTCATTCCCTTCATTGCACAGTCAACAGTATGGCCTGCTGCCCAGGTGGGATGACTCAATCGTGCAGGGAAAAGTTGGATTGTAAACTGGGGCCCTTCTGGACAGCTCCAGAATTGAGATTTCATTCCTGGAGCCACATTGGAGTGAGATGGATTGATGCTAGTTTGGATGTGGCCTCCACACTGGCCTCCTCTTTTCCTGACTTCCATGTTCCTTGTGGACCTAGAGTTTCCTAGGTCTGGCTCAGTCTGACTTTCATGTTCCTCATGAACCTGGGGTTTTTCTGGGTCTGGCTCAAAGTCTTCCACACTAAAAGTTTCCCAGTTCATGGAGGACGATTCTCTTGGGAATCCATTGCATGAGTGTTTTCTTATAAACACTGTCACATTTTAATGACTGGGCAGTTGTGATACTTTCAGAATGATAAATTTCGATTATATCCACCATCAAGATAACTCTTGTTCTCCCACATCTAAAGGACAGCTGCATGACTCCTGTAGGATGAGAAACAGGCAGCTGTGTCTGGATTTTACCTGGCAATCTAGGCTCTGTTTCATGTCATCTGCACTTCCTTTCTCATTGTGGATGGGGTATTTCATTGGGCTGTTGGTGGGTGGGACTGACTTTCATTGTGGATATTTTGGTTGCCAGGAATATCAGAAAGCAAAAGGTATTTTGGGTAGGCTGGCTGCACACCAGGTTGTGGGTAGTGGTCTCATAGTGGTGGCTGGCATTGTTTGCACTTTGCCGGAGGCTTTTAGGTCCTCAGGCAGGAATCCTTGAACATGGCTTGGACTCCTGCACAAGTCTGCTCATTCTCCCAGGAGAGCCTTGATTTTTCTTTGCTTTCATGGGGGGTCCACAGTGCCCATCAACAGCACTCCTGGACATTATTTTCATGTTTCAAATTGCCCCGGACAGCCTCTGAGACACTCTCAACCTCATGTGCACCTGTGAGAGGCCTGTTTTAGGTGTGAGTTCACTGCTCCACCTTGTACTTGCCTTTGTCATGGTTCCTGCCTTTCCCAGAGAGCCGTGCTGAGAAGCAGGAGCCCCTGTGAGGCCCGGGATAAAGGAAGGCAGGGGGTTCAAGGGCCTGGCCATCTTCCACTGACACCTCCCTCTTGGATCTCAGATATCATTCCATCACCCAGAGACCTCTTAACAACTCACCAGACTTTATTCCCATCCCCAGGAGACCCAATTCATGCACGCAGCCTCTTTTGGGAATGGAGTCAGAAGAGCAGTCTCCAGAGCCCACCTCACAGTCTTCAAACTCCTCCTTCTCCTGTGGGACCCTACCACGAAGATGGCTCATGAAGGCCCTATGTTCGAGACTATTAGCATGCTGCAGTGGGTTGCTGCAGGTAGCCTTTTTCTGGAGACTAGGCCAGCTCTGGCTGTACCATTTTCCTGAGCTTTGCCAGGCTTAAGCCCTGACAGCTAGGTGCCTGAGCCTGCTTGGTGAATGCACATGTGACCGTCAGGCCACCAGGCACCAGTGGTGAGCAGCGTCTCACGTCACAGTGAAGCCACCATTGCCTGGTGACAAGTCCCTTCATCTTGGCGGAGAAGGAGTCCTCTGTGGATATGTGTCAGCATTGAACTCTTACCTGTCTACTCTGAGGGCTCTATGGGATATTCCCACAATCCTAGGAGTGGGCAGTGGTGAGCCAGCCTGAAGAAACATCAAGTGGAGCCCCAGGAATAAACCACGAAATCCCTAAGGATCGAAAAGGATACCCACGATAAGTCAGGCCTGCCTAGACGGTGTGGGAGTGAGTCTTTTTGAAACTTCCCTCCCTGTGATTTCTAGGTACAGTCCGCCTCTGTTTTCTGGGGCTGCTCTCTCTCAGAAGGGGCTTTCTGCAGAACCGTGCAGCCTCAGGAGCTGCCAGGCTGTGTGTTTCTGTGGGAGTGTTGTGAGTGTTTGAATGTCTGCGTGTGTGTGTGTGGCTGTATGTGAGTGTGTTTGTGTGTGTCTGTGTGTGTGTGTGAGGGGCATCTGCTAAAAGGAATGTGTTTAATGCACTGCAGCACTTTTTTTTTCGAGTCCCTTCACCTTCTGGTGCACCTGTCTGTGTGGCTCTGCTTGACATATGGGGCTGCATGTTATCTGTTTTTCCGTGGTTCCTGAGTCCACGGTGAGTTGGGGGGGGATAGTTGAGACTCACAGGTGTACAAATCACCTCCCCATACAAAGGAGCCACTCTTCTAGAAAGAAGAGGAGCACACCACTCTCAGGAGCAGACACCTGTCAGGGCCTCATTGTCCTGTGGCCAACCCAGGGCGGGACCGTAGCAGTACTGTCCACAGGCCACCTGAATCCAATTTGAATTCAGTTTGCAGCTGAGCAGGTGCTTCACGTTATGAAGGGAGCACTCCTCCAACATCTTGGGATTTCATTCCAGAACTAGGAGTGTGAGCAGCAATAAGGTCAGATATGGGTGAACATACAGTCTGCTGAGGTGTGGATGGGGTCCTACACCTTCATCTGCAAAAAAAGGTGCAGACAGATGACACAGGAAGTGCTTCCAACTCCATTCTTGCATTCCCTTCATTGCACAAGCTGTCCACAACATGGCCCCGTGGTCAGGTGGGAGGACTCCAACTTGCAGGGAATAAAAAAAAGGTTTAACTGATACAAAAAGGTTTATCTCTGTAAGATGAATCCACACATAGCAAACCATTTGCAAAGATAGCTTCTTTCTAGTTTTTATGCTGGGATATTAGGTTTTTCAGTATAGTCCACAATAGGCTCCAAAATGTCCCTTCATAGATTCTACAAAAAAGGTGTTTTCATCCTGTTGAATCAAAAAAAAGGTTTAACTCTGTGAGATAAATCCACTCTTCACAAAGCATTTTCACAGACAGACAGTTTTTAGTTTTTACTGTGAAATATTTGGTGTTTTACTTTAGTCCTCAATGTTCACAAAAATGTCTTTTTTTTATATGCTACATAAAGAGTGTTCTTAACCTACTGAATGATAATAAAGGTTTAACTTTATGAGATGAATCCACACATCACAAAGCATTTTCACTAATAGGTTGTTGCTAGTATGTATCGTGGCATATTCAGTTTTTCAATATACTTGTCAGTGGGCTCCAAAATGTCCTCTTGTAGACTCTTTAAAAAGAGTGTTTCCAACGTGCTGAATCAATATAAAGGTTTGCCTCTGTGAGATGAATCCACCCACTGCCAAGCATTTTCAAATATTGCTTGTTTCTAGTTTTTATCTTGAAATATTCATTTTTTCACTATAGGCCTCAGTGAGCTCCAAAAGGTCCCCTCCTAGGTTGTACAAAAAGAGTGTTGCCAACCTGCTGAATCAAAACAAAGATTTAAGTTTGTGAGACAAATCCACATATCAGAAAGCATTTTCACAGATAGCTTGCTGCTAGTTTTAATCACTGCTATTAGGTTTTTCAGTATAGCCTTCAATGTACTTTGAAACATCCCTTTGTAGATTCTATTAAGAGAATGTTTTCAACCTGCTGAAACCAAACAAAGGTTTAATTCTGTAAGATGAACCCACACATGGCAAAGCATTCACACAGATAGCTTGTTTCTAGTTTTTATTGCAGAATATTCAATTTTCCACAGTAGGCCTCAATGGGCTCTGAAATATCCCTTTATAGATTCTACAAAGAGTTTTTCCAACCTGCTGAATCAAAAAATGTTTTATCTCTGATAGATGAATTCATACATCATAAAACATTTTCACAGATATTTTGTTTCTAGTTTTTATCACAGGATATTAGGTTTTTCTCTAGAGGCCTAAATGGGCTCCAAAATGTTCCTTCCTAGATTCTACAAAAAGAGTGTTTCCAACCTGCTGAATCAAAATAAAGGTTTATCTCTGTCAGATGAATGAACACATCACAAAGCATTTTCACAGATAACTTGTTTCAAGTTTTTATGATAAGATATTTTGTTTTCCACTGCAGGCCTCAATTGGCTTCAAAATATTCCTTTGAATGTTCTTCAAAAAAAGTGTTTTCGACTTGCTGTAACAAAAAAAAGGTTTAACTTTGTGAGATAAATCCACACATTGGAAAGTATTTTCACAGATAGCTTGTTTCCTGTTTTTATAGCAGAATATTAGGTTTTACAACTATAGGCCTCTATGGGCTGTGAAATGTCACTTCATAGATTCTAAAAAAGGGTTTTTCCAACCTGCTGAATCAAAACAATTTTAACTCTCAGTTGAATCCACACAACACAAATGATTTTCACTGATAGATTTTTATAGTTTTTATCAAGGAATATTTGGTTTTTTATTATAGTTCTCAATGGGCCCTGAAATGTCTTTTAACACATTCCAGAATTAGACTGTCTGCAACCTGCTGAATAAAAACAAAGGTTTAACTCTGGGAGATGCATCCATACATCACAAAGCATTTTCACAGATAGCTTATTTCTAGTTTTCATTGTGGGACATTTGATTTTTTAAAGAGGCCTCAGTGGGCTCCAAAATGTCCCTTTGTAGATTCCCCATAAATAGTGCTTCCAATCTGCTAAATCAAAACAAAGCTTTAACCTTGTGAGATGAATCCACTCATTGCAAAGCATTTTCACATAAAACTTATTCTAGTTTTCATCATGGGACATTTGTATTTTTACTACAGGCCTCAATGGTCTCCAAAGTGTCTCTTTGTAGGTTCTCCAAAAAGAAGTGTTTCCAACCTGTCTTCCATAGATTTTCCAGAAACAGTGTTTTCAACCTCCTGAATCAAAACAAAGTTTTAACTCTGTGTGATGAATCCAGACATCAGAAAGCATTTTCACAGATAGGTTTTTTCTAGTTTTTATCATGGGATATTGGCTTTTCACTACCTGCCAAAATGAGCTCCAAATTGACCTCTTATAGATTCTACAAACACAGAGTTTCCAACCTGCTGATGCAATACAAAGGTTTAACTTCGTATGATAAATCTACACATCACAAAGCATTTTTACAGATACCTTGTTTCTAGCTTTTATCACAGTATATTCTGTTTTTCACTACAGACCTCAATTTGCTCTGAAATGTCCTGTCGTATATTCTACAATAAGAATGTTTCCAACCTGCTGAATAAAAAGCAAGATTTAACTCTATGAGATGAAATCACACATCTCAAAGCATTTTCAGAGATAGCTTCTTTATAGTTTTTATTAGGATTTTAGGTTTCTCACTATAAGCCTCAATCAATGGGCTTTGAAATATCTCCTCATCGATTGTACAAAAAGAGAGTTTCCAACCTGCTGAATCAAAAAAAGGTTTAACATTGTGAGACAAATCCACAAATTGCAAAGCATTTTTACAGATAACTTGTTTCTAGTTTTTATCATGGGATATTTGGTTTTTCACTATAGGCCTCGGGGGCTAAGAAAAGTCCCCTCTTTGATCCTACAAAATGAATGTTTCCAACCTGCTAAGTTTCCAACCTGCTGAATCAAAACTAACATTCAACTCTGTTAGATGAATCCACACGTTGCAAAGCATTTTCACAGATAGCTAGTTTCTAGTTTTCATCAGGGGATATTCAGTTTTTTACTACAGGCCTCATTGGGTTTGAAATGTCCCCTTGTAGATTCTAGAAAAATAGTGTTTCCAACTTGCTAAGTCAAAATAAAGGTTAAACTCTGTGAGATGAAACCACACATTGCACAACATTTTTACAGATAGCTTGTTCTGGTTTTTATCATGGCATATGTGGTTTTTCACTATAGGCCTCAATGAGCTCCAAAATGTCCCTTCCTTTATTCTACAAATATAATGTTTCCAACCTGCCCAATTAAAACAAGGTTCAACTCTGAGATGATTCTACACATTGCAAAACATTTTCACACATAGCTTGTTTCTAGTTTTTATCCTGGGATATTTGTTTTTTAGTATAGGTCTCTGTGGGCTCCAAAATGTCCCTTTATAGATATTACAAAAAGAGTGTTTTCCACCTTCTGAACCAAAACAAGGGTTTAAGTCCGCGAGATAAATCCACACACCTCAAAGCATTTTCACAGATAATTTGTTGTCAGTTTTTATCAGGGATAGTTGTTTTTTTATAATAGGCCTCAAGGACTCAGAAATTTCTTCTTTTAGATTCTACTAAAAGAGTGTTTCCAACCTGCTGTATATAAACATAGGTATAACTCTATGAGATAAATCCACACATCACAAACATTTTCACAGATAGCTCGTTTCTAGCTTTTATCACAAGATATTCAGTTTTCACTATAGGCCTCAGTGGGCTCTGAAATGTTCTTTTGTAGATTCTACAAAAGAGTGAAACCTGCAGAATGAAAACAAAAGTTTAACTCTGTGAGATGAATCCACACATCACAGAGCATTTTCACAAATAATTTGTTGCTAGTTTCTATCGTGAGATATTTAGTTTATCAATATACTCATCCATGGGCTTCAAAATATCCCTTCATTGATTCTTAAAAAAGAGTGTTTCCAAACTGCTAAGTCAAAACAAATGTTTAACTCTGAGGGATAACCCACGCATCACAAAGCATGTTCACAGATAGTCACTGGAACGCTGGCCTTTCTGTAAAAGCCACCCTTTTGGCACCCCTCCCCTCGTGCCTCTGGCAGTGGCACAGTGCTGTATCCTGCCTGGGCTTTGGCCTCTGCTTTGTCTTTCCTCTTGCTCTGTCTCCCCTGTTTCTCAGGGGCCTAGATGCCTCTCGCTCTGGCTGAATATCTTCAACAATGATCATGTCCCAGTCCGTCAAGGAGACACTTCCTGGAGATCCCTGTCGTGATTGTTTCTCTCTTTCAACCTGTTTCTGCTTGATAGGGCAGTATTGACGACCCTGGAGCTCTTGGCTTCCATACTTGTCTCAGACAGGGAAGCTTCCTTCCTCTCCGTATTTCACCTCATGGGTGGGTGGATTGCCTGGAATGAGCACTAGGCGACCGTGACAGTCCTTGTCTTCTAGGACAGGTGGTGTCACATTTCCTCTGCACTTCATGTCTCATTCGTGAGAGACATCTCTCCTCTGCTCCTGGGTGGACTGACTCCCTGGATCTTTTGACCGTAACGAATGTCGGGGAAAGGAACCAAAGGGACTGGGCTGGGGCTGGGGCTGGGGCTGGTTGCAGGGGAGGTTGGGTCAGGGCTACCTGGGCCGTGGAGGGTTGGAGGTGGTGTGAATTTTTCAGAAACCTCTTTAATCCTCTGGCAGGCATTTCAAAATGTGGCTTGGACTCAGGCACAGGCCCCCTCCTGGTTCCCAGGTGTTCTTTGATTTTCCTTGTCATTGATGGAAAGGTCACTTGATCCGCCCTTCCACCGGACACATGCCTGGACACCATTGTTGGTTTCGCCGTCACCCCATATGCCTCCGGTGACACACATTCACACCATCTGCTCTGGGATACGCCAGTACCACGCTTGGTCGCATTGGCCTCACCTCGGAATTGCCTCTCTCTTTGTTTGCACGTGTCCTGGAAAGCAGTGTTGGCTTGGAGGAGCCCAGGGCTTTTAGAAGCCGGGCAGACCACTGCTCTTTCAAAGGGGGAGGGAGGCAGAGGGCTCAGGGATCAGTGAAATTTCAGCTGACACCATGCGTTGAGGCCCATGGGATCATTCTGTGCTGCAGGGAGGCCCTGCCTGCCTCACCAGATGTGGTGAACCCATCCTATCTCACTCGGAGGGGTCCAAAATTGGATTTGAAGGGGAGTCCTGAGAACCTAGCAGGCGCCCTGAAGCTCCCCATCCATCGGTGGAAGTTGGCTCCAGGAGGTCCTGAAGACTGGACTCCTGGGGGTTTGGCCCTGGGCCAGGACACCTGCGGCCCCCTCTCCCACGCGGCCCCAAACGGGACCCCAGATCCAGCCACTGCCAAGGCTGCAGGAGGAGCCCCCCTGCCGCCGCACAGCCGCGGCCTTATTTAAAGGGGACTCAGCCCCACTGCCAGGACCAGAGCATTAGTCGGCCCAGCCAATGCGCATGCCCGAGGCGCGAGCGGATTCTCTCGTCACAGTGCTTCCCACGGTTGTGTTAGAAACCAGTCCCTGAGGCTTGGCAAAGCAGGAGTCCTCCTTGGCAGAGCTTGGGTGTCGGGACTCCGAGGTTCCGGCCTGACCTCTCCACAGGGTAGACAGTAATGTCTCCAGATGCCAGGAGTCTCAAAGCGCCGACCAGGATGACAAGACCACTGGCAGAGTCCAGGGGAAGCAGCAAGGCATCCCAGCCTCAGGCCTGCCCGGACGGTGTTCGGGTGAGTCTCCCCAAAAGTCGTGCCCCCGGGATCTCAAGGACAGGTCAGCCTGCGTGCCCCTGGGCTGCTCTCTCAGCCAGGGTCATTCTCATCCAGAGCAGAACCCCGCAGCCTCAGGGGTTGCCTGGGGGTGTGTGTTTCTGTGCCACTGCTGTATGACTCTGTGTGTGTGTGTATGTGTATGTTTGTGTGTGTCTCCCATTCTCTCTTCTCTCTCTGTCTCTCAGTCTCTGTGTGTTTCTTTCCCTCTCTCTGTCGGTTTGTGTGTGTGTGCCCGTGTGCAAGTGTGTCTTTGGACGAATGTGCCCTGTGCAGCACAAAGCGATTTCTCGCATGGCAGCCTGTCTTTGGTGAGCCCCTTTCTGCGTTTCTGCCTGGGTCCTGTGGCCGGCTGTCAATGGTTTTCACCCCGGTACCACTTTGGTTGTGTGAAGGCTTCAACTGCGTGAGGAGATGCGTCGGTCCCGGAGCAATTGAAATCTCATCCCCATCGTGAGCAGCCTCTTTTTTAGGATCAAGATGACCACACTGCAGCCAAGGACAAAAGCCCCACAGGAGCTCATTGTACTGCAGGAGAGGAGTGGACCCATGTCAGAAATGAGGTCGTATCTTTTCCCGGCTCTTCTATGAGCAATGAAGCCACATCACGATAGACGAATCCGGGAATGGGACTTGGCAACAATCCCTGTCACTGGAACGCTGGCCTCTCTGGACAAGCCACACTTCTGTCCCCCCTCCCCTTATGCTCGTGGAGGTGGCATGGTGTTGTATCCTGCCTGAGCTCTGGCCTCTGCCCTGCCTTCCCTCTCGCTCTGTCTCCTCTGTTTCTCAGGCGCCTAGATGTCTCTCGCTCTGGGTGAATGTCTTCAACAAAGATCACTTCCCAGTCCGTCAGGGAGACGCTTCCTGGAGATCCGTGTCATGATTGTTTCTCTCTCCAAACCTGTTTCTGCTTCATTGGGCAGGTTTCATGTCCCTGGAGCTCTTGGCATCCATGTGTGTCTCAGACAGGGAAGCTACTTGGTCTCCATTTTTCACCTCATGTGAGAAGCAACGGTAAGCCACCGTGATTGGCCTTGTCTTCTAGGACAGGCACGGTGTGGCATGTCCTCTGCATCTCTTGTCTCATTCTTGAGGGACATCCTCGCCTCTGCTCCTGGGTGGACTTACTCCCTGAATCTTTTGGCCTCCTCCTGGATCCCAGGTGTTCTTTGATTTTGGTTGGCATTAATGGAAAGGTCACTTGTGCCCCTCTTCAGCCGGGCACATGCCTGGACACCATTGCTTGTTTTGCCATCGCCCCATATGCCCTCGGTGATACACATCCATACCATCTGCTCTGGTATATGTCAGTGCCACACGTGGTTGCCTTGGCTCCACCTGGGAATCACCTCTGTCCCTGTTTGCACTTGTCCTGGAAAGCGGTATCAGCTTGCAGGAGCCCCAGGGCTTTTAGAAGCGGGGCGGGCCACTGCTCTTTCAATGGAAGAGGGAGACAGACAGCTCATGGGTCAGTGAGTTTTCAGCTGACACCATGCTTTGAGGCCCGTGGGAACATTCTGTGTTGCAGTGAGGCCCTGCCTGCCTTAGCAGATGTGGTGATCCCATCCTTTCTCACCCGGAGGGGTCCAAAATGTGATTCAAAGAGGAGTCCTGAGACCCCAGCAGGCGCCCTTGAGCTCTCCCTCCATCGGTGGAAGTCGGCTCAAGCAGGTCCTGAAGACAGGACTCCTGAGAGTTTGGCATTAGGTCGCCCGCGGACCTCTTTCCCACGCCGCCCCCTACTGGGTCCTGGATCCAGCTGCCGCGGAGGCTGCAGCAGGAGCCCCCCTGCCGCCGCGCAGCTGCCATTGTTTCAAGGGGACTCCGCCTGACTGCCAGGAGCAGAGCGCGAGTCAGCCCAGCCAATGCGCATGCACGAGGCGCCAGCCGCTTCTCCCGTCACAGTGATTCCCATGGTTGTCTTAGAAACCAGTCCAGGAGGCTTGGCAAAGCAGGAGCCCTCTGTGGCAGTACTTGGGCGTCCGGGCTCCGAGACTCTGGCCTGACCTCTCCACGGGGTCGACAGGAACGTCTCTGGATGCCAAGAGTCTCAAAGGGCCGACCAGGATGAAGAAACCCCCGGCGAAGTCCGTGGGAAGCACCACGGCAGCCTAGCCTCAGGCCTGCCCAGACGGTGTTCGGGTGAGTCTCCCCAAAAGTCATGCCCCCGTGATCTCTAGGACAGGCCTGCGTGCGTGCCCTCAGGCCGCTCTGTCACCCGAAGGTCGTTCTCGTCAAGAGCAGAAACCCCCAGCCTCAGGGGTGGCATTAGGGCTGAGGAGGGTGTGTTTCCATGCCACTGCCATGTGACGGTGTGTGTGTGTGTGTGTATGTGTGTGTGTCTCCCATTCTCTCCTCTCTCGCTGTCTCTCACTCTGTTTCTTTCCCTCTCTCTGTCGGGGTGTGTGTGTGTGTTTGTGTGTGCTTGCTGTGGTGTGTGTGTGTGTGTTTGGATGTATGTGCCTGTGAGCCAGAAAGCGATTTCTTGCATGTCAGCTGGTCTTTGGTGAGCCTCTTTCTGCATCTCTGCCTGGTTCATGTGGACTGCTGTCAGTCGTTTTCCTGGCCGTTCCACTTTGGGTTTGTGAAGGCCTGGACCACGTGAGGAGACGCGTCGGTCCCGGAGCAATTGAACTATCATCCCCATCCTGAGCGGCCTCTTTTCTAGGGTCAAGATGACCACACTCCACCCAAGGACAAAAGCCCCATGGGAGCTCACTGTCCTGCAGGAGAGGAGCAGACCCACCTCCAAGAAGATGATTGTTTCTTTTCATGGCTCTTCTCTGAGAAATGAAGCCACACCACGATACAGTCTTGAAGAGGAAGCCGGGAATGGGAGATGGCAACAATCCCTGTTATGGGAACGCCGGCCTCTCTGGACAAGCCACCGGTTCGGCACCCCTCCCCTTGTGCCTGTGGAGGTGGCAAAGTGCTGTATCCTACCTGGGCTCTGGCCCCTGGTCTGTCTTCCCTCTTGCTCTGTCTCCCCTGTTTCTGAGGGGCCTAGATGCATCTAGGTCTGGCTGAATGTCTTCAACAAAGATCACTTTCCAGTCCATCAGGGAGACACTTGGTGGACATGCGCATCACGATTTTTTCTCTTTCCCAACATGTTTCTGCTTGATTGGGCTGGTTGGATGACCCTGGAGGGCTTGACTTCCATAGGTGTCTCAGACAGGCAAGCTACCTTGGTCTCCATGTTTCACCTCATCGGTTGGTGGATTGCCTAGAATGAGCAGTAGGCCACTGTGACCAGCCTAGTCTTCTAAGACAGGCAGTGTCACATTTCATCTGCACTTCCAGTCTTATTATTGAGAAACATTCTCTCCTCTGCTCCTGGGTGGACTGACTCCCTGAATCTTTTGGCCCCCTCCTGGATCCAGGTGTTCTTTGATTTTCCTTGGCATTGATGGAAAGGTCACTTGTGCCCCCCTTCCACATGGCACATGCCTGAACACCATCTTGTGTTTCACCATCACCCCATATGCCTTCGGTGACATGCATTCACACCATCTGCTCTGGGATACGCCAGTGCCATGCATATTGGAATTGACTCCACTTTGGAATTGCCCTTGACCCTGTTTGCATGTGTCCTGGAAAGAGGTATCAGCTTGCAAGCGCCCCAGAGCTTTTACAACTGGGGCAGGCGACTGCTCTTTCAAAGGAGGAGGGAGGCAGAGGGCTCATGGGTCAGTGATTTTTCTGCTGACACCACACCTTGAGGCCCATGTGATCATTCTGCCCTGCAACGAGGCCCTTCCTTTCTCAGCAGATGTGGTGAGCTCATCCTTCTTCACCCGGATTGGTCCAAAATTGGATCTTAAGAGGGGTCTTGAGATGCCAGCAGGTGCCCTGAAGCTCTCCCTCCACCGGTGGAAGTCAGCTCAAGGAAGTCTTTAAGACAGGACTCCTCGGGATTTGGCCCTGGGACCCCCATGGCCCTCCCTCCCCTGCCGCCCCCTACTGGAACCTGCATCCCGCCATCGCCACAGCTGCAGCAGGATTCCCCCTGCCACTGTGCTGTCACCATTGTTTAAAGGGGCCACAGACTGTCTTCCAGGAGTGCAACGCGAGTCTGCCCAGCAAATGCCTATCCGCAAGGCTCTAGCTGATTCTCCCATCACATTGATTTCCATGTTTGTCTTAGAATCCAGTCCCTGAGACTTGGCAAAGCAGGAGTTCTCTGTGGCCCTGCTTCGTTGTTGGGGCTCTGAGCCTCCAGCCTGACTCGCAAGGGTTTTAATACCCTTCCCATCCTCAGCTGCCTCTTTGCTAGGATCAAGATGACCACAACCCAGCCAAGGACAAAGACCTCACAGGTGCTCATTGTCCACCCCCAGGAGGGTGCCCACAGACCTTCAAGAAGATGATTTTCACTCCTCTTGCACTTTGCCCTCATTCAGAAATCCAGGAACAGTTCGACACAGCGACAGAGAAGGAAGCCGGCAACGGGATGCGGCAAGCATTTCTGTCACCCAAACGCTGGCATTCCTGGCCAAGTCACCCGCTTGACACTTTTTCCCGGATTCCCGTGATGGTGGCATTGTGCCGTATCCTGCCTGGGTGCTGGCCTCTAGTCTGTCCTCCCTCTTGCTCTGTCTGCCCAGGTTCTGGGAATCCTAGAGGCTTCTTAGTCTGGCTCAATGTCTTCAACAAAGAACACTTCCCAGTCCATCAGGGAGAAATTTCTTTGGGGTCCGTTTCATGATTGCTTTCCTCTCCAAACCTATTTCTGGATGACGAGGCAGGTGTGATGATCCTGGAGCTCTGGGCTTCCATACCTGTCTTGGACAGAGAAGCTCCCTTGGTCTCCATATCCAAAGTGATGGCTGCGTAGTGGGTCCAGGAAGAGCAGGAGGCGACCCGACCTTGGCTGACCTTTGTTTTCTAGGAAAGGCAGTGTTGCATCCCACCTGTACTTCCTCTCTCATTTCTGAGGGCCATCCAGTTGCTCTGCTCCTGGGGAGAGTGCCTTCAAGCACTGAATCTTTTGGCTGCCACAGATGTCAGGGAACCGAGAGGACTGGGTTTTGCTGGGTGCAGGGGAGTTGGCATCAGAGGTACCTACCCGCTGGCAGGATCGGGGTCGGATGTACTTTGTCGAAACCTCTGGGCCCCTCTGGCAAGCATCCCTGAATGTGGCTTGGACTCGGGCACAGGCCCTGTCTCGCAGGTTTTTAGGTGTGCTTGGCTTTTCCTCAGCTTTCTGTGGGAGGTCCCTGTGGCCCACGGACACACACCTGGACGTCACTGTCTTTCTCGGCATCGCCCCATATGGCCTCAGAGACACACGCTCATTCTGTCTGCTCTTGGATGACCCCAGTGCCACGTGTGGTCACATTGGCTCCATCTCGGACTCGCCTCTGTCTCTCTTTGCACATGTGGCGGAAAGCAGTTTCGGGATGCCAGAGCCCCGGGCGTTGGAGATAAAGGCAGACCACTGCTCCACCCAGGAAGAAGGGAGGCAGTGGGCTCATGGGTCAGTGCATTTTCAGCCTACAGTACGCCTTACTGCCCTTGGGATCTTTCTGTGCCCCAGCGAGACCCTTCCCGCCTCACTACATTGTAACCCCATTCCTGATCACCCGTTCGGATCCATAATCAGATCCGAAGAGGAGTCCAGAGAGCCCAGCGGCACCCTGAAACTCCTCCTCCACCAGGAACTGAAGCAGAAGACGGATCGAGAAGGTCCTGATGACAGGACTCCTATGGGTCCAACCCTGGGTATCCTGCAGGCCCCCTCCTAGTACCCTTCCCACTCGCCGCCTCGGACTGTACCGCCGCCCCAGTCCCCTCAGTCAGCTGTGTTGAAGCCATTTTTTAAAGGGTCCGCAGCCTGACTCTCCGGAGCAAGGGCGGAGTCGGCCTCGTCAGTGCGCATGCGCGAGGTCCGAGCCGCCGCTTTGGTAACAGTGTCCCGCACTGCGGCCCAGAAATAGGTCCCTGAGACTTGGCAAAGTAGAAGCCTTGTGTGATAGTGCGTCAGAGTCGAGGCTGAGAGCAGTCCTGGCCAGGGTGTTAACAGGATGGTCTCTGGAGACCGGTATTCTCGGAGGGTCGACAACCAGGAAGAAACCTCAGGAGCAAGAAACCTCAGGCAGATCGCAGGGGAGGCAGCGCAAGATCCCAGCCTCAGGCCAGGATTTGCGGAGGGTTGATGAGGCCCCTCTCCCAATCTTCACTTCACCAGCCACTGCCCCAGTCCCCGCAGCCGCCGATCCGCCATCATTTATTATTATTTTTTAATAGTCGGAGTCTCACTCTGTCACCCAGTCTGGAGTGCAGTGGCGGGATCTCAGCTCGCTGCAAACTCTGCCGCCTGGGTTCAAATGATTCTCTTGCCTCCGCCTCGCGAGTACCTGGGATTAGAGGGATTAATCAGAGTCGAGGCTGAGAACAGTCCTGGCCAGGGCATCAACAGGATGATCTCTGGAGGCCGGGATTCACGGAGGGTCCTCCAAGAGGAAGAAACCGCGGGCGGAGGGCCGAAGAAGCAGGGCGGGATCCCAGCCTCAGGTCTGCATGGACGGTGTGCCAGTGAATCTCTTCAAAAAAGGAGAGGTTTGCTTGTGTGCCCATGAGCTGCACTCTCACCGGTGGGTCGTAGGTGCGGAGAGCAGAACACGGCAGCTTCAGGGGCTGCATGGGGGTGGGTGTTACCGTGCCACTGCCCTATGTCTTTGTGTGTTTGTGTATGTGCGTAAGTCTCTCTCTTATTTCTCTCTCTCTCCTTTCTCGCTCTTTCGCTCTGTGCCCGTCTGTGTGTGCGTGTGTGTGTTGGGACACATGTGCCCTGTGTGCCAGAGGGCGGTATCTTGTACGTCGGTCTTTCTTCTGGTCACCCTCTCCCAGCCTCTCTGCCTGGGTCTCGTGGCCAGTTGTAAGTAGTTTTTCCGGTGGTTCTAGTTTGGGCTTGTGAAGGTCTGGATGAAGTGGGGAGCTGCGTCTATCTCATAAGGATTTAAATCACCTCCACACACTGAGAGGCCTCTTTTCTAGGATTAAGGCCTCCACCCCCGAGCCAAGTATAAAAGCCTCACTGGAGAGGTCATTGTCTACCTACAGGAGCTGTGTAGAGTGACCTCAAAAAAGATGGTTCTCATTCGTCTCTCTCTTTCATCTGCTTAATAAATCTAGCCACAGGGTAACACAGGTTTTGTGAGGATGGGAACGGGACTTGGCAAGGATCTGTGAGTGTGCAGGCTGTCTTTCACATATCATTAAACATAGTCTAGTGAGGGTTCTGCAGATAGCTGGCATTTAGGTTTGTTTTACTGAATCAAGGAAAAGAAAAAATGCCGAGAAAAAATGACACAACTTGCCTGCCAGCCTATCTGATTGTTACAAATTTAATAGTAATTTTAATTTATCTTCTCATGTAAAGGTCCTTGGCAGTGATACCTAATTTCCTAAGATAGCCTTGCTTTATTTCGTATGATTAAGATATCATGCATATCAGAGAATCTGGAAATTCTTCCCAATGCTGTCGACATACGTGATTAATCACATTACCAAAATAACATGCCAAAGCAAACAACAGAAAATTATTTGTTACTTAGTTCCTTCAAATTTGTTTATCTAATTTGTGGTTCCTTCATGCACAAAACATTTCATGTGTGTCTGGCACTCTTCTGGTCACAAATTTCATCTTAAATAACCTAAGTATTGAAACGCTTGTGCCCTTTGATTGATTTTTCCCACATAAATACTTTGATAAAAAGCTACATTGAAGCTGGGCATAGTGACTTACACCTCTAATCCCAGATCTTTGGGAGGCTGAGGCCAGAGGATCATGAGATCAGGAGATCAAGACCGTTCTGGCCGACATGGTGAAACCTCATCTCTTCAAAAATACAAAGAATTAGCCAGGAGAGGCCAGGCGCTGGCTCAAGCCTGTAACCGCACACTTTGGAAGGCTGAGGTTGGCAGATCACCTAAGGTCAGGAATTCGAGATCAGTCTGCCCAATGTGGCAAAACCCTGTTTCTACTAAAAATACAAAAAATTAGCCGGGTGTGGTGGCAGGCACCTGTAATCCCAACTACCCAGGAAGCTGAGGCAGGAGAATCTCTTGAACCCAGGATGCAGAGGTTGCAGTGAGCTGAGATCATGCCACTGCACTCCAGCCTGGGTGACAAGAGTGAAACTCTGTCTCAAAATCAACAACGAAAATAAAAGAAGAAAGAAAGAAAGAAAGAAAGAAAGAAAGAAAGAAAGAAAGAAAGAAAAGAAACATTGTCTATACTAAAAATACAAAAATTAGACCCTGAAGGTCACATCTGAATGAGAAAGACATTGTTTGCCTCAAATTGTCTGACACTAAAGAATAGTGCAGAATTGACAAGTGAGGTGACTCACACTTATAATCCCAGCACTTTGGGAGGCCAAGGTGGGTGGATCTCCTCAGGTCAGGAGCTCAAGACCAGCCTAGCCAAAATGGCAAAACTCTGTCTCTACTAAGAGAATAAAAATTACCCGGGTGTGGTGGCGCACATCTGTAATCCCAGCTTCTCAGGAGGCTGAGGCAGGAGAATCACTTGAACCTGGAAGGCAGAGGTTGTAGTGAGCTGAGATCGTGCCACTGCACTCCAGCCTGGGTGACAGAGCAAGACTCCATCTCAGAAAAAAAAAAAAGTATGTAAGTCACTAATGTATACTAATGTATCAAAGAAAACAGCCATTCATGTATTGCAAATAAATACTCAACCAAGACAAACAGGCATGTCACATGTTATGGGAAAAGACTGTAATGATGGTGAGAGGAAAACTGTGACCCTTGAATATAAGACAGAAAAAAAATCAGGGCACGATATTAAGGAATTGGAAATAATTCTCCATATTAAAGGAATACAAGAAACAGAGAGAGAGGAGAGAGAGACACGATAGTCACAGACTGCAGGGGTTTGGGGTAGATGGGAATCAAGGAGGCAGAGAGAGCAGTGGGAATGTCCATAAAATCACCCTCCAGAGCTGTGCTGTCTAATAAGGCTGCAGAACACTTGAAAGATGGCTAGTCCAACCTGAGAAATGCTGTAAGTGGAAAACACATTTAAAAAAATTTCTGAATACTCATTATAAAAGAAAGAATGGGCCAGTGTGGTGGCTCACACCTGTAATCCCAGCATTTTGGAAGGCCAAGGCGGGGGATTGCTTGAGCCAGGAGTTTGAGACCAGTCTGGGCAACACAGCAAGACCTCATGTCTTCAGAAAAAAAAAAAAAAAACATTAGCCCAAGTGCAGTGGCTCACACCTGTAATCCCAGCACTTTGGGAGGCCAAAGTAGGTGGATCACTTGAGCTCTGGAGTTCGAGACCAGCCTGGACAACATGCCAAAACCCTGTCTTAACAGGTTTTTTTTTTTGTATTTTAAAAATACAAAAATTAGGCAGGTGTGACACATGTTTGTGGTCACAGCTACCTGGGTGGCTGAAGTGGTAGGATCATTTGAGCTCTGGAGGTCGAGGCTGCAGTGAGCCAACATTGTGCTACTTCACTCCAGCCTGGGTAACAGAGTGAGACCCTGTCTTAAAAAAAAAATTAGCTGGGCATGGTGGTGGTCAGGACCAGCCTGACCAACATGGAAGAGCACTGTTTCTACTAAAAATACAGAAGTAGCCAGGTGTGGTGGCACATGCCTGTAATCCCAACTACTCAGGAGGCTGAGGCAAGATAATCATTTGAACCAGGGAGGCAGAGGTTGCAGTGAGCCGAGATCGCACCACTTCACTCCAGCCTGGCAACACAGCCAGACTGTGTCTCAAAAAAAAAAAAATTATATATACACACACACACACACACACACACACACACACACACAATAATTTTGGAGTGAAGTTTCAAAATCAATCAGTAAGCACCACCTACCAGGTTGATCCTTATGCAAACTGCCCCCTCTGCACATGCAGGATTAAATGAACCTTGAAAATATTATGCTAAGTGGAAGAAGCCAGTCACGAAATATCACATGCTATGTTATTCCATTTAAATAAAATGTCCAACATACATGAATGCATAGAGACAGAAAGTAGATTAGTGGTGGCCCAGGGCTGGGGGAAATGGAGGGATATGGGGTTTACTTTGGGGCAATGAAAATGACCTAAAATTTATTGTGGTGATGTTTGCACAACTGTGCAAATATACTGAAATCATTGAATTTTACACTTTAAATGGGTGGCTTCTGTGACATGTTAATATTTCTCAATAAAACTTCAAAGTAAAAGAGTACCTGTGTGCCTCCAGAGTCCACATTTTTACACTTAATGAAGAAATCAAGATATTGTTTCTTCTTTATTTTTATTTTATTTATTTTATGTTTTGAGATAGTCTCCCTCTGTTGTCCAGGCTGGAGTGCAGTGCCACGATTTCAGCTCACTGCAACCTCCCAGCTAATTTTTGTATTCCTAGTAGAGATGGTATTTCACTGTGTTGGCTAGGCTGGTCTCGAACTTCTGACCTCAAATGAGTCCACCACCTTGGCCTCCCAAAGTGCTGGGATTGCAGGCGTGAGCCACCATGCCTGGCTCAAGATTTAGTTTCCATTGTTTCAGATACACTAGGACCATTTTATTCTACTTTAATTTCTGATGCATCATCTCAGTGGAAATTTTACATTACTTCCCAAAGTATTTTACTCTTTTTAAGATTTTATCAGCTGAGTGCAGTGGCTCGCACCTCTAACTGCAACACTTTGGGAGGCCAAGGTGGGAGGATCAGTTGAACCCAGTAATTCAAGACCAATCTCTGCAACATGGTGAGATGCCTATCTCTACAAAAGAAAAAAAAAATGTTTAATTAGGTGGGTATATTGTAGCATGCCTGTGGTCTCAGCCAGTAGGTAGGCTGAGGTGGGAGGATCACTTGAGCCCAGGAGGTCGAGGCTGCAGTGGCCACGATTATACCACTGCATTCCAGCAAAAATATTTTTAATTACATTTTTTAAGAAAACAAAATATACACTTACTGACTTGATACAAATGAATGACTTTTATAATCTACAGAAACCAAAAAAAAAAAAAAAAAAACAACAACAATAATAAAAACCCACAGCTATTCTTCTTATGTGAGTCTCTGGTGTCTCTGAGTTGTAAGAATTGTGAATTATGATTAATAACAAATATGCATGACAAGGACCCAATAAGAGATAGGCATTGATAAATTACAAATCACATTTAGTGGAGTAAGGTCTTTAAAGTTGTACAAGAAAAAGAAAGAAAAAGAAAAGGCATTGAAAAACTGCATTGGCTACCAAAATGCTAAAGTTTACCTAAGTCCATTAATCAGCGCACACACACACACACATACACACGCAATGGATGTGTAAAATGGTCAACACGGTATTCCATGAACGTATCCTCTTATAAATAGGTCTGTAGGGGTAAGAGATGAGGTTCTATAGTTCCTGGAATCAGGGATGGGGAATCTGTGGGGTCCCTGGGGTGAGAGATGAGGCTCTGTAGATTAGTGATGGGTGGTCTTTTGGATAGTGATGAGATCCATGGAATCAATTCTTGTGGGTATGTAGGGTCAGTGATGAGGGAATCTGGTGTCAGTGATGGGATGTGTGTGGAATCAATGAGAGAGTGTGGAATCAATGTGTGAAGGCCAGATTTGTGGTGTCATCTCTCAGGCTGACACATCCTGATCTGTGTCAGTGGTGGAAATTCTATGGGGTCAGAGTGTGACAGTCAGATCCCTGCCACTGGGTGTTCTGGGTCCAGCCAAGGGCACAGATTCCCTTACCTGATCTTGGCTGGAGAGGCCCTTCTCAAGGACTCCTCGTGTGAAAGGTGGGTTGTCGGCGGTTTTTGTTTTTGTTTTGTTTTCTGATAGGGGTGGGTGGGTTGGCTTTTTCTTTTGGGTTTTGTTTTGTCTCTTAGAGACCACAGACACATCCAGCTTTTAGGAAGACATTTTTGTCTGGGCGATCGCTAGGTCCTTTGGGCCAAGCCATCTAATGGGAACGAAGCTGACCATTCACTCAGCACAGTTCAGATCTAGATGGCCGCTTTAAGGGGTCCACTCGGGGACATGCAAGTGGGTTGTGGCTTTGAGTGGCAGGTGGGCGGGAAGAAACAACTAAGAAAGACACACGAGAGGTCCTCAGGCTTGTTCTGTCACAGTTAGAAGAACAGCTTCCTTAACCCATCAGGCGCCAATGGGAGGTGCCTCTGGGCTGCAAGAAGCTGGCGGAGGGGGACTTCCAGACCCAGAAAGTCTGGGCACAGAAGCCTATTACTGCTAGACGTTGAGGAGTTGCCGTGGGAACCAAGGGCCTTTCGGGTCAGATCAGAGCCTTTCTCAGACAATTCTTTGGGTAACTGGCAAGCTCCTCTCCAGTGCATGCCCCTATGAATGCTTAGTGTGCCATCTCGGGCAGAGTCTTCTTTGGTCTGAGAGCCACTTGTTTCTTAAATCCCTGCGCTAATCTCGCCATCTGCTCCTACGTAGCCCAGGCATTTGCCGCATGCTGGTCCTTTCTTTCCTGACAGGAGGGCAATCTCTCTCCAGCTTCTGGGAGGACAGTTCAAATTATGGAGGTGGGGGTGGGTGCAGGGCAGCAGTGCCCAGGGGAGTATGGGGGAGTTGGGGGAGCAGGGGCTCATTTTTCTTTGTAGCTCAGATTCCCAAGCCTGTGACTTTGAGAATCTTTGTCTTCCTTGCTACGTTTCAATCTGAGGCTCTTGGGGAGAGGGCAGAGTTGGAGCCAGATGGAAAAGTGGTGGGGAGAGGAGTGGGTGGAGGGAACATGGAGAATGTTTCAGGTGGTGTCTTTATTCCTGGCACCTTACTTTGCCTACTGGATTTTCCCAGTCTGTTCCAGACGCACTCTCTAGACCCTGAGGGGGCCTGAGGAGGCATGTTAGTTGCCAGTGTGGTGGAGATGGAGTGCTGGGAGGTGGAGGTTGCAGTGAGCCGATATCGCGCCACTGCACTCCAGGCTGGGTGACACAGCGAGACTCTGTCTCAATAAATAAATAAACAAATAAACAAACAAATGAAGGGAAAAAAACACAGTATAAAAACCAAGTGATTCTAAAAGTAGCAATATATCATAATGCCTAAATATGTGTAATTGGTGGGGCATGGTGGCTCTGATGTATCATAATGCTTAAATTTGTGGGATTGGTGGGGTGTAATCCCAGCACTTTGAGAGGCCAAGGCCGGTGGATCACCTGAAGTCAGGAGTTTGAGACCAGCCTGACCAACATTGTGAAACCTTGTCCCTACTAAAAATAGAAAAAAATTAGCCAGGTGTTGTGGCGGACACCTGAGGTCCGAGCTACTAGGGAGGCTGAGGCAGGAGAATCGCTCAAACCCAGGAGGCAGAGGTTGCAGTGAGCCAAGATTGCCCCATTGCACTCCACCCTGGGTGACAGTGCGAGATTCCCTCAAAAAAAAGTTTGTGGGACAATTCCAATCGAGTCCAGGGGTCTCGATTGGCCAAGGCAGTCTCAAACTTCTGACCCCAAGTGATCTGCCTGCCTTGGCCTCCCAAAGTGCTGGGATTATAGGCATGAGCCACCGTGCCCGGCCTCCCCTCGTTTTCATTCATTTTAAATGTTTTATTTGCTCCATCTGTTATGTATGATTGCCTTGATGATTTCAGCTTGAATTAAAATTACATATTTTTCCTGTGTTTATTAATATTTAAACATATTAAAATAATACATGTTCACAATGAAAATGAAACATTACAAATAAATACACAGGAAAGGCAGTATTCCCCTTCCAGTTCCACTCTTGAAATAACCAGTTAACAAGATGATGAACATCTTTCCATGATGTTCTCCAAGATTCATATAATTATTTGCAGTCATACAATGGCATATACAGCTCAGGTGCAGTGGCTCATGCATGCAATCCCAGCACTTTGGGAGACTGAACCGGGTGGATCATTTGAGGTCAGGAGTTCAAGACTAGCTAGGCCAAAATAGTGAAACCCCATCGCTACAAAAAACACAAAAATTATTTGCGCGTGGTGGCGGGCGACTGTATTCCCAGCTACTTGGGAGGTGGAGGCACGAGAATCTCTTGAACCTGGGAGATGAAGGTTACAGGGAGCCGATATCACATTACTTCACTCCCACCTGGGCGACAGTGAGATTCCATCTCAATAAATAAATAAAGAGAAAGAAAGAAAGAAAAAAAAAGATAAAAGAAAGAAAAAAAGAAGAAAGAGAGAGAGAAAGAGACAGAGAAAGGAAACAAGCGAGCAAGCAAGCAAGCAACCAAGAAAGAAAGAAAGAAAGAAAAAGAAAATAGAAAGAAAAAGAAGTCATGTACTCAGGTTGCTAAGATCGATGGTAAGAACAAATCCTCTAGTGGTGAAAATGTAAGAAGGAAAAATAAATTTCTGTTAGTCTTGTTTGTTGTACCCCAAGCTCTAAAAAGTACAGCCACATGTGTGGTAAGTACTTAGTTAAGATAAAAAAGGCATTAAATTTGTGCATGGAAATCATAAACAGAAATGCACTCTGATTGACAGCAATTGGGTCAATGCTATCCAAGGTTCAGACATCCACTGCCGTTCTTAGATCACATCTCCTGCAGATAAGGGAGGGCTACTATATAATGTTTCTTTCTTTTTTTCTTTAATTATAAAGCATTCTCCTTTTTTATATAACAATTTGCTATTGATATCACTTTTGGTATAAAGATATTAGGTTATCTTTATAGTAGATAAAAAGCTAACTCATTCTTTGTAAGAGTTAAAGTATCTTCCATTATATGAGCATTTAAAATGCTAAAGTACTTTTGCCACCAAAAATAGTGCTTCTGTAAATATTCTTTTACTTATGCTTTTATTAATTTTTACTTCTGCTGAAACAAATTGCATGAGGAAACAAATGTATATGTATAAAATATAATATATGTATATATATTTAATATGTGTATATACAACTTAATATATCCACATACATACAATAACATACCCAATTTTTTGGTTGTTTTTTGCGATGGAGTTTTGCTCTGTCACCCAGGTTGGAGTGCAGTGGTGTGATGTCAGCTCACTGCAACCTCCACATCTTGGATTCAAGTGATTCTCCTGCCTCAGCCTCCTGAGTAGCTGGGAATACAGGCATCTGCCACTAAGTCCAGCTATCTTTGTCTTTTTAGTGGAGATGGGTTTTCACCATGTTGGCCAGCCTGCTCTCGAACTCCTGACCTCAAGTGGTCCACCGACCTTGCCCTCCCAAGGTGCTGGAATTCCACATGTGAGCCACCGCGCCAGGCCTAACATATACAATTTAATGTATATACAAATATAGGTTGGGTACAGTGGCTCACTCCTGTAATCCTAGCACATTGGGGAGCTGAGGTAGGGGATTGTTCAAACTCAGCAGTTTGAAACCAGCCTAGGCATCATGGTGAAACCCTGTCTGTACAAAAAACACAAAAATTAGTTGGGTGTGGTGGCACGTGCCTGTGCTCCCAGCTACTCAGGAGACTGAGGTGGGAGGATAGCTGGAGCCCAGGTGGTCAAGGCTACAGTGAGTTGTGATCATGCCACTGCACTCCAGCATGGGTGACAGTGAGACCCTGTCTTAGACAAAAACAAGTCAAACCAAATATAATGTTTATGCATTACACACTTGATTTCTTTCCAAAGGGTTATATAACACTGTACTTTCACCAGCAATATATGCGACTACTCATTTCCTACATACTCACTATCACTTGTGTGCAGTCAAGGAAACTTAGTAGGCCTGAATTGCCCAAACCTGGCATACTCCAAAGAATGGTGTGACTCTAGCCCATCTCCTGGGAAATAACCTCTAAGTCCTTGGAATCTCCTGCCTATCTGGGAGTTAACAATGTGATTTATTGTGGGGACCTTGGACCATGCAGTGTCAGCTTGACCTTGGGAAGGGTGGAGACAGAGAAACTAAGGTCATCCAAATGGGTTCTCTTGTCCATGAGACTAACCTCCAGTAAAACCCTCAACCCCAAGGCTCCGGTAAGCTTCTTGTTGGGGAGTATTTTCTGTACTTTCTGCCACATATCGCTGGGTGAATTAAGCATTGGTCACATGATGCCACTGGGAGAGGACAACAGGAAGCTTGTGCTTGGTTTCTCCTGGACTCTGCCCTATGCACCTTTTTCTGCTGCTGATTTTAATCTGTATCCTTTTGTTGTAATAAACTATAACTATGAGTATAACAGCTTGACTCAGTTTTGTGAGTCCTTCTAATCAATCACTGAACTTTTGGTACCCCAAAACACAAGGTTGTTTCTTAATTGAATTTTCCATATTATGTAAGAAACCTACGTGCATAATTGAAAATCCCACACTAAGAAAGAGCTTTCCATGCAGTGTACTCCCCACCCTGTTTCTCCAATGCTCCCAAGTCTACTTTCTGAATAACCAAATATTTAAATTTTCTAAACTATTTATAATCTATATATCTGAGTGCTTATCCGTTATATAATAGGTAGATCCTCCTCTTTCAGTTTTTTTTTTTTTTTTCTGAGACAGAGTCTTGCTGTGTCACTCAGGCTAGAGTGCAGTGGCATGATCTTGGCTCACTGCAAGCTCCACCTCCCGGGTTCACTCCATTATGCTGTCTCAGCCTCCCCAGCAGCTGGGACTACAGTCACCTGCTGCCATACCTGGCTAATTTTTTTGTATTTTTAGTAGAGACAGGGTTTCACTCTGTTAGCCACGATGGTCTTGATCTCCTCACCTCATGATCTGCCTGCCTTGGCCTCCCAAAGTGCTGGGATTACAGGCATCAGCCACCTCACCCAGCCCCTCCTTCTTAATATATCAATTTGATATATTACCTGATAGCTTCGTGTTCTGATAGCTGATGACTTGGCTGACACTCACCCCTTACCACAGTGCCTGAACCACTTTCCTTATATGGTGCTCTCACTATTTTCTTTTTCTTTTCTTTTCTTTCTTTTTTTTTGAGACAGAGTCTTGCTCTGTCACCCAGGCTAGAGTGCAGTGGTGCAATCTCAGCTCACTGCAACCTCCGCCTCCCAGGTTCAAGTGATCCTCCTGCTTCAGCCTCATGAGTAGCTGGGATTACAGGCACGAGTCACCATGCCCAGCTAATTTTTGTATTTTTAGTAGAAGCGGGGTTTCACCATCTTGGCCAGGCTGGTCTCAAACTCCTGATCTTGTGATCCACCCACCTTGGCCTCCAAAAGCGTTGGGATTACAGGCGTGAGCCACTGACCCAGCCACTCACTATTTTCAATGGCTCTGTTGGTTACCATTCACAACATTCAACAATTAGACTTATATCTCATTTATTTATTTTTAATTTTTTTCTGTTTTTAGGTTTAAGGGATACATGTGCAGGCTTGTTACATGGGTAAATTGCATGTCACTTGGGTTTGGTGTACAAATGATATAGTCACCCAGGTAGTAACCACAGTACCCAATAGTTTTTTGACCCATAGCCTCATGCCACCCTCCCCACTCAAGCAGGCTCCAGTGTCTATTGATCCCATCTCTGTGTCCATGTGTACTCAATGTTTAGCTCCCACTTATAAGTGAGACCATGGGCTATTTGGTTACCTGATGCTGCATCAATTTGTTTAGGATAATGGCCTCCAGCTGCATCCATGTTGCTTCAAGGGCCATGGTTTCTTTTTCTACGGCTATGTAGTATTCCATGGTGTATAATTACCACATTTTTGTTATCCAATCCACTGCTGATGGGCATCATATATGCCACTTCAAACTATACTACCAGGCTACAGTAACCAAAATAGCATAGTAGTGGTACAAATACAGACACATAGACCAATGGAATAGGTTAGAGAACCCAGAAATAAATTCACACACATACAACCATGTGATCTTTGACAAAGTCAACAAAAGCGAGCAATGAGGAAAGGACTCCCTATTCAACAAATGATTCTGGGATAACTGGCTACCCACGTGCAGAAGACTGAGTCTGGGCCCCCTACCTTTCACCATATACAAACATTAACTCCAAATGGATTAAAGATTTAAATATAAGACCTCAAACTATAGAAATCCTGGAAGACAACCTAGGAAACACTCTTCTCAACACCGGCCTTGGCAAATAATTTTTGGCTAAGATTCCAAAAAAGAAATTGCAGCAAAAACAAAAATAGACAAGTGTTACCTAATTAAACCGGAAGCTGGGAGGCCGGGTTGGGCAGATCACAAGGTCAGGAGTTTGAGACCAGCCTGACCAACATGGTGAAACCCTGTCTCTAACAAAAATACAAAAATTAGGTGGTGGTGGCACACACCTCTAATCCCAGCTATTCAGGAGGCTGAGGCAGGAAAATTGCTTGAACCTAGGAGGCAGAGGTTTCAGTGAGCCAAGATCACACCACTGCACTCCAGCCTGGGTGACAGAGCGAGATTGCCTCAAAAAAAAAAAAATTAAAGTAAAATAAAAGCATAAACACAAGACAAACTCTCAACAGAGTAAACAAACTACAGAATGGGAGAAGATACTCACAAATGATGTAACCAACAAAGGCCTAATAATATCCAGAATCTATAGACAACTTAAACAAATGGAACCCTTACTCTGTAGCAAGTTCTGTATGCATAAGCCTCTCTTTGTTCTTATTTTGGTGGCCACTGTTTATTTACACAAAGAGAAAGAACTGCTATTCCCATAAATCATGGCTTTGGAAATGGTCACAGTTCACTGGGCATGCTTGCTCATGCCTGTAATCCCATCATTTTGAGAGGCCAAGGTGGGCAGATCACGAGGTCAGGAGATCGAGGCCATCCTGGCCAACACAGTGAAACCCCATCTCTACCAAAAATACAAAAAAATTAGCCGTGATTGGTGGCATGTGCCTATAATCCCAGCTACTCAGGAGGCTGAAGCAGGAGAATCACTGGAATCCGGGAGGCAGAGGTTGCAGTGAGCTGAGATCATGCTACTGCACTCCAGCCTGGATGACAGCGTAAGACTGTCTCAAAAAACCCAAACTGGTCAGGCTCGGTCGCTCACGCCTGTAATCCCAGCACTTTGGGAGGCTGAGGCAGGTGGATCACAAGGTCAAGAATTCAACACCAGCCTGGCCAAGATGGTGAATCCCCAACTCTACTAAAAAATACAAAAATTAGCCAGGCACCGTGGCAGGCACCTGTGATCCTAGCTACTTGGGAGGCTGAAGCAGGAGAATCGCTTGAACCCAGGAGGCAGAGGTTGCAGTGAGCTGGGATCTCACCACCGCACTCCAGCCTGGGCAATAGAGTGAGAATCTGTCTCAAAAAAAAAAAAAAATGGAGAAACTCCATCTCTATTAAAAATACAAAATTAGCCAGGCATGGTGACACATGCCTGTAATCCCAGCTGCTTGGGAGGCTGAGGCAAGAGAATTGCTTGAACCTGGGAGGCAGAGATTTCGGGGAGGTGGAGGTTGAGGTGAGCCAAGATCATGGCATTGCACTACAGCCTGGGCAACAAGAGTAAAACTCTGTCTAAAAAAACAAAGAAACAAACAAAACAAAACAAAGAAAAATACACACAATTTATTTCCTGGTTTGTGATAATCTGTGAAATATATTTTGAAATGAATTGGAATTCAATACAGTACTATTCACACCCCAAATACTCCTAATATTTCCTTTCCCAGATGATGACCTGGTACTCTTCCTAGGGCTTGACTTCTCCCTGTGGGTCCCCAGTACAAGTATTTGTGATTCTGAGTCAATTCATTGTCTACATGTGTGACAATGCAATGCTCTTGTTGTAGAGTACCAAGAAGAGTCAGGTCCAAACTGCACATTTGTAGAGAACACAGTATATGTGCAATTGAACATGTATGTGGTTGTGATACTGAAAACAATACAAACACAGGCCAGGTGCAATGGCTGATGCCTGTAATCTTAGCACTTTGGGAGGCCGAGGCATGGAGATCACCTGAGGTCAGGAGTTTGAGACCAGCCTGGCCAACCTGCTGAAACCCCGTCTCTACTAAAAGTACAAAAAATCAGCTGGGCGTGGTGGCAGGCACCTGTAATTCCACCTACTCGGGAGGCTGAGGCAGGAGAATCACTTGAACCCAGGAGGTTCAAGTGAGCCAAGATCACACCACTGCATTCCAGCCTGGGTGACAAGAGTGAAACTGCATCAAAAAAACAAAACAAAACAAAACAAAGCAAAACAAAACATCGGCCTTGGGCATTTCTTTAGGTTGGCTCCTGTGTTCTATTTATAGCATGCCTTTATCCGGGGGTTGGGGTGTGGGACTTATTCCCAACTTTCTGGCACCATAAAGTGTTTTGATTCATCTGGTATTTTCCCTGACCCAGACGTGGAATAAACTATTTATTTAAAGATTCTTTGTTTCTTTTATTGAAAAGTATTATTTACAAAGCACCAAAATCTTGGGGTGGGTGAGGTGGCTCAGGTCTGTAATCTCAACAGTTTGGGAGGCTGAGGCAGGAGGATCCCTTGAGGCCAAGATTTTGAGACAAGCTTGGGCAACACAGTGATACCCCCATCTCTATTTTTAAAAACCAAACAAAAAATCGCCAAGATCGGGGTGACACGTGTGCTCATTGCTATGGGTGTGTCATTGCTTCTAGGCCCTCTTAGTGGGCAGAACTAGGAAATATATTGTACGTATACTAACACACATGCCACATGCCTAATTTGTATATTTATTTAGCCTTACTGGAAGCATTTTTTTTTTTTTTTGAGACAGGGTCTCACTCTGTCACCTAGGCTGGAGAGCAGTGGCATAATCTCAGCTCAATGTAACCTCCACCTCCCAGGTTCAAGAGATTCTCCTGTCTCAACCTCCAGAGTAGTTGGGACTACAGGTGCATGCCACCATGCCAGGCTAATTTTTGTGTTTTAGTTGAGACAGGGTTTCACCATGTTGGCCAGGCTGGTCTGGAACTCCTAACCTCAGCGGATCTGCCCCCCTTGGCCTCCCAAAGTGCTAGAATTACAGGCATGGACCTCTGTGCCTGGCCAAGCATTCTTAATGGGAGTGATATTGCCCCTAAGAGGGTGAACATTGGTTATTGAAGGTAAAATGAATTATAGTTGTTGCAATGGTTTGTGGCCTTCCACAATTTTATTTTATTTTTTTTATTTTTTTTTTATTTTTTGGAGATAGAGGCTCACTCTGCTGCCCAGACTGGAGTGTGGTGTTGCAAACTTTGCTCACTGCAACCTCCGCCTCCTGGGTTCAAGCGATTCTCCTGCCTCAGTCTCCCAAGTAGCTGGGATTACTGGCATACACCACCACACTCAGCTAATTTTTGTATTTTTTGTAGAGACGGAGTTTCACCATGTTGGCCAGGCTGGTCTAGAACTACTGATCTCAAGTGATCTGCCTGCCTCAGCCTCCCAAAGTGCTGGGATTACAGGTATGAGCCACCGTGCCTGGCCTATTGCACAAAATTTTACTCCCTGGTATTTAATTTCTCTCAAATATTTTGGGCAACATTAATCATTTTATGGAAGATAAAAAATCCATGCAAGATCAGGCCATGCACAGTGGCTCACACCTGTAATCTCAGCACTGTGGGAGGCCAAGGAAGGTGGATCACTGAAATTCGGGAGTTCAAGAGCAGCCTGGCCAACATAGTAAAACCCTGTGTCAACTAAAAATACAAAAAAATTACCCAGAAGTGGTGGCACCTGCCTGTAATCCCAGCTACATGGGAGGCTGAAGCAGGAAAATCGATGGAACCCAGGAGGCAGAGGTGTCTGTGAGTGGATCGTGCCACCGCCCTTCATCCTGGGTGACAGAGTGAGCCTCCACCTCAAAAAAAAAAAAAAAAAAATCTTTGCAAGATCAGTGCTACAAAATGATGGGAAATCGATGGCTATATCTGGAAGACTTTTTCTTGATTGAATGCTCTATCCCAAAGTTATATGCGAGGTGGTCTGTGTGTGCCTATTGGCTGCCTTGTGGATGGTATTTATGATTGATCCTCAGTACTTTTGGAATTATGTAAAATAGTTTATATTATGAAAGTAATTCAACCTAGTATTAATTGTGTTAAGTATTGAAAATGAAAAGTGTTGACTACATCTGAATGAATGAATATCTGGTCAACTGGTTTTTTGTTTGTTTGTTTGTTTGTTTGTTTGTTTTTGTTTTTAGAGATGGAGACTCACTCTGTTGCCCAGGCTGGAATGCAGTGGCATGATCTTGGCTCACTGCAACCTCCACCTCCTGGGTTCTAGCAAGTCTCCTGTCTCAGCCTCCTGTGTAGCAGGGACTACAGGTACATGCCGCCACACCCAGCTAATTTTTTGTATTTTAGTAAAGAGGGGGTTTCACCCTGTTGCCCAGGCTGGTCTCGAAATCCTGAGTTCAGGCAATCCACCCACCTCAGCCTCCCAAAGTGCTAGGAGTACAGTTGTGAGACACCGCGCCCAGCCTAGCTTACGGTTTTATTGAAAACCCCATTTAACTCAAAACAGCTCGTTCCTTATGAGTAATAGTTTTTGTTTGTTTCTTTTATGTTTGTTTTTACAAACGGCTATGAAATCATCAAGAATTGTGGATCATCAAAAAAAGAAACATCCTGATAAAGTCAAGAAACAGAATATTTAAAACGTTTAAAATAGAATTTTGAACTGTAACACTGTTACTTCTTATTTAAGAAGGACACGCCACAGGGTGAGGTGGCTCACACCTGTAATCCCAACACTTTGGGAGGCTGAGGTGGGTGTATCACGTGAGCCCAGGAGTTGGAGACCAGCCTGGGTAATACGGTGAAACCTTGTCTCTACTAAAAACACAAAAACTAGCCGGGCATGGTGTGTGCACCTGTAATTCGAGGTACTCAGGAGGCTGAGGCAGGAGACTCGCTTCAACCTTAGAGGCAGAGGATGCAGTGAGCCCAGATTGTAGCACCATGCTCCAGCCTGGACTATAGAGCAACACTCGGTCTCAAAAAAAAAAAAAAAAAAAAGAATAAGCAAACAAATTATGATGAAATAATTGCCTTATAAAATTGCAGAAATAGGCCAGATGTGGTGACTCACGCCTGTAATCCCAGCAATTTGGGAGGCTGAGGTAGGCGCATCACCTGAGGTCGGGAGTTTGAGACCAGTCTGGCCAACATGGTGAAACCCCGTCTCTATTAAAAATACAAAGTTAGCCGGGTGTGGTGGCACACGCCTGTAATCCCAGCTACTCGGGAGGCTGAAGCAGGAGAATCACTTGAGCCCTGGAGACGGAGTTTGCAGTGAGCTGAGATCATGCCACTGCACTCCAGCCTGGCTAACAGAGCGAGACTCTCTCAAAAAAAAAAAAAAAAAAGAAAGAAAAGAAAAGATTACAGAAATCATTATAAAACCCCATAGTGCTTTATACTTGCTGAAACTGTCATAGGACTCACATTAGAGACGGTAACTTCAATAATGATGTAACACATTGCCACTATTTCACAATCACTCCTATTGAGCAATAATTTAATTCAAAGATGCATTAATGAGATGTCAGGTAGTACCAAAGAGTAGCTGATTAATCAAGTAAGTTTCCTATTCAGATCAATGAAATCAGTTACTGAAAGTAAGGCCTGACAATAGGACATGTTTGTTATTTAAATAATGGCTGCAAACTAGAAGAAGAGATATTGTTTGTAAAATCTTTAGACGCTGACCCTACCAGAACATCTATTCTTGCTGCTGTAAAATCTTGGTTTGGGGCTGGGTGCAGTGGCTCACGTCTGTAATCTCAGCACTATCATTTTCTCATATGAATCGGAAAATGCCGATCTCTGCATCCTAAATCTAAACTAATTTCCCATTCACTTGCTAAGCTTCAGTCACACCAGGCTGCTTTCTATTTCCGGAACGCTCCAAGCGCTCTCTGATTTTTCAGGATCTTCAGTGTAACTGTGCCTCTGTTTGGAATACCCTTCCACACTGCTGGCTCCTCACCACCAAAGCTCGAGGGTTATCTCTCAGACACGCGTCCTATCAATGCTACAGGAAGTATCCCTCAAGTTACTGCTTATACCACCTATTGACTTATTTCATAGTATTTATCACAATATAAAATTACTTCATTTTCCACTTTTAATTTAAAATCTTTTTTTTTCTCCAGACTAGAATGTAAACCTCATGTGGGCAGCAGACATGTCTGCTTACCTTTTTTTTTTTTTTTGAGACGGAGTCTCGCTCTGTCACCCAGGCTGGAGTGCAACGGCGCGATCCCGGCTCACTGCAACCTCCACCTCCCAGGTTCAAGCGATTCTGCTGCCCCAGCCTTCCAAGAAGCTGAGATTACAGGCGCCCACCAGGCCCGGCTAATTTTTGTATTTTTAGTAGGGGAGCAGTCGGGCTCTGGACTACATTTCCCGGAGGATTCTGCAGGCCAATACCACGTCTTGCGAGATTTCGGCTTCCTCTTAGCCAGGTGGCAGAATCTTTCGCTGTGCGCAATTAGCTGCTGCCGCGCCTTGGAGTCCGTAGTAACTTGGCCAGGCTGGCCCCGAACGGAACTAGAGAAAGCTGAGGATGAGGAATCCAGCTTCGGTCCTTTTGTGTGTGGAGGGCTGAGGAGAGGAGTTTGCGTGTGTGATTGCGATGGTTGCCGTGGGTCTTCGTGGTCTGTGACTGTGGCTGTGTGGTGCTGACTCTGTGTGATCAGATGGGCGCTTGTGACTGTGCGCGCTCCGACTGGATGTGTGTGTCCTGGACGAGCCGCGTTGTGTGTACGGATGTGGACAACCAGTGACTGTGTGGTTCGGACTGCGTGTCCCAGGGTGGGTGTGTGACTTTGCGTGTGTGTGCAGTACTGTGTGTGCGTGAGTTGCAGGTCTGTGGCTGTGCAGGTGCAACTTGTGTGGCCCCGCAGGTGCAACTTGTGTGGCCCCGTGGTCTCTGTGACAGAGGAGAGTGTGATTGGCTGTGAGGCAGAGGGTAAGCGGATATAGGGAGGCCTGTGTGCGATTGGAACTTTGTGTGTCCCCTTGAGAGAAAAAAACCCTTTAGGGAGTTAGGGCAGGTCCTTGGTAAAACTCCTTTAAACAGAGAAACAGCCTGAAAAATCAGGCTGCAGGCACAGAGAAGGAAAACTAGCAAAGCGGGTTGTCCTAAAGACAATTCCTCAGCTGCATTGATAAGGGACCGAGGCCCAACATAGAAATGCCTTTGTCCTTTGTGTGACCAGCGGGCTTCCAGGAAATAGTCGCTTTTTTGTGGGCTCTGTTAGATTTTGAAGGGAAGGTGAAGGTTAAAGAAAGAGAGAGAGTTGGCGGCTCTATGGAGGGGACCAACTAAATGCCAGAGCCCACTGCCGCTTACAGGCTGGAGTAATTATAGGCCTGGTCAGGAGGGGTCTGGGCAGTATGGCTTGTTGCCTGGGAGAATGTTGATAAGGATGTTTCTTGGGCCTTTCCCCAGCAGGATGTCATAAGGAAGTCAGGCAGTTGGGGAGGATGTTTCTCGCAGCCCAAACCCCAGTGGAATATTTCCCTCTGACCAGGCTCTGTGAAATGGTGGGGGCTTACAAATCGGTGCAGCTTGGACCAACAGGCTCCGGCGGCCACTTTCCTTTTCTGGACATGCTTTGGACTGTGAGCCGAGGCTCTATGAATCATCACTTCAGCCCCTGATTGGTCCTGGGCCAAACTTTCACTTCAGCCCCTGATTGGTCTTGGGCCAAAATTTCACTTCAGCCTCTGATTGGTCCCAGGCTAAGGTCCCAGGCCAAGCGAAGTAGTGCTTTCGCCAAGACAGCTCACAGACCAGTGAGCACATTCTTCCCCTTCCCAGTTCACAAAACCCCCAGATTCAGCCTCCTAGTTTGCAACCCTCTTTCGGGTCCCCTCTCCGCTGGGGAGAGCTTTATTCTTTTGCTTATTAAACTTCTGTTCCAACCTCATCCTTTGTGTCCACGTTCCTTAATATTCTTGGCTGTGAGAGAAAGAAGGCGAAGACAAGAGCCTTTATCCTAACAACTCAATTGCTGGAGAGAAGTTTCGTGCATGTTCTATGTGGCATCACATGCCATAGCCCTGGGATTGAAAGCCATGCAGTTTAAGGGATGGTGTTAATCTCAGTCCAAATAGGTAATAAGATCTTTCACTTTGCGATATTTTAGGGGTAGGAATGAGATTGGGGGTTTGATCAATAGTTTGTACCCATAGGACCAGGGATTTGCCCAGTCATCTGTGAGTAAATGCTTGCTGCTTGCGCCAGTTTCCATGTCTGTATTGAATTAAATACTCATACGGTTCTGTGATTTTGTCAAATACAGATTTGGTCTTTGTACCTATTTCCTGGCATACAACTCCTAAAATCCTTGGAATGTCCTAAGAGCTTGCTTTTTTTTTTTTTTTTTTTTTTTTTTGAAACGGAGTCTTGCTCTGTAACCCAGGCTGGAGTGCAGTGGCACAATCTCCACTCACTGCAACCTCTGCCTCCCGGGTTCAAGCAATTCTTCTGCCTCAGCCTCCCGAGTAGACTACAGGCATGTGCCACCATGCCTGGCTAATTTTTGTCTTTGTTTTCTTTTTTAGTAGAGACGGGGTTTCACCATATTGGCCAGTCTTGTCTCGAACTCCTGACCTCAAGTGATCTGTCTGCCTCAGGCTCCCAAAGTGTTGGGATTATAGGCATGAGCCACCGCACCCAGGCTTTGGTTTTTTATATGTTAGTGATTGACCGATAGCCTCAGGATGTGGGCTGGTCATCAGAAAGACCAAGGCAGGATTAGAGGGTTGGGACTTTCAGCCCCTACCCTCCCACCCCTGGGGAGTGGAGGGGACTGAGGATTAAATTGATGGCAAGTGGCCAATGGTTTAATCAATCATGCCTATGTAATGAAGCCTCCTTAGAAACCCAAAAGGAGTGGATTTGGAGAGCTTCCAGAGAGCTGAACACATGGAGGTTCCTGGAGAGTCGTGCCCAGGGAGGGGATGGAAGCTCTGTGCCCCTTCCCCCATACCTCGTGCTAGGCCTCTCTTCATCTATATCCTTTGGAATATCCTTATAATCAAACAGTAAATGTGTTTCCCTGAGGTTTGTGAGCCATTTTATTCTAGCAAATTAATCAAACCCAAAGAGGGGGTCGTAGGAACCCCAAATTAAACCCATCAGTCAGAAGTTCCAGAGGCTGGGACTTGTGATTGGTGTCTGAAAGGGGGGCAGTTTTGGGGGCTGAGCACTCGATCTGTGGGGTGACACTATCTTATGGTAGATAGTGTCAGAATCGAATTGGTGGACACCCAGCTGGTGTCTGCTGCAGAACTGATTCCTTGCTTGCTGATAGGGAGAAATCTCCTCATATTTTGAGGCCACAGAAGTCTTCTGGTTGGATTGTTGTGGTTTTGGTGTGAAGCAGAGGAAGAACACAGGTTGAGCTTTTTCCAAACGGGTTCACATTGGTGGTCCTCAACCTCAAATCCATCAACTCCATCGCTGAATTTTTATTTATGTATTTATTTTTATTTTTGAGGTAGAGTCTCACTCTGTCTCCCAGGCTGGAGTACAGTGGCACGATCTCAGCTCATTGCAGCCTTGATCTCCTGTGCTCAAGCGATCCTTCTACCTCAGCCTGCCAAATAAGCTGAAACCAGAGGCACACACTAGCACTGTGGCATAATTAAAAATAATTTTCAGTAGAGAAGAAGACTCACTATGTTGTCTGGGCTGGTCTTGAACTCCTGAGTTCAAGTGATCCTCCCCCTCTGCCTCCAAAGTGCTATGATTACAGGCATGAGCTGCCTCACCTATCACTGATTTTCTTTTTCTTTTTCTTTCTTTCTTTCTTTGTTTTGTTTTGTTTTGTTTTGTTTTGTTTTGACAGAGTCTCACTCGGCCTTGCCCAGGCTGAACTGCAGTGGTGCAATCTCGGCTCACTGCAGCCTCCGCCTCCCGGGTTCAAGTGATTCTCCTGTCTCAGCCTCCTGAATAGTTGGGATTATAGGTACCCACCACCACACCCGACCAATTTTTGTATTTTTAGTAGAGACAGGGTTTCACCATATTGGCCAGGCTGGTCACGAACTCCTGATCTCAGGTGATCCACCTGCCTCAGCCTCCAAAAGTGCAGTGGCAGGATCAGGGCATACTGCAGCCTTGACCTCCGAGACTGAAGGGATCCTCCCTCCTCAGCCTCCCAAGTAGCTGGATTATAGGCATATGGCACCATGCCAGGCTAATATTTGTAATTTTTGCACAGATGGGGTTTTGCCATGTTGCCCAGTCTGATCTTGAACTCCTGAGCTCCAGCAATCTTCCCACCTGAGCCTCCCAAAGTCCTGGGATTACAGGGAAGAGCCACTGCACCCGGCCTGTCACTGCATTTTTAAAGGGAAGGAGGACTATAGTGAGATTCACTAAGGCTTACAGAAAAGGTAGAACCCTAGATAGATTAAAAGACAGAAATTATAATATCCTTGAGATGATAATATTCAAATTTAGCTTTCATAGATATGGAAATTTGAAGTACATCAGACTATAAGGTGGCATTTTGTGCAACTAATTAAAACTATGTTTGAAAGAGGGCAATTGCATTTTCATTACTAATATTAAGTAACAATGAAAATAAATAGAAATAACCAACAAATTGTTATATTTAAATCCTCCCTCCTTTTTTGGAAAGAGTATTGATATTTTTAGATTCTAATCAAAACTTCTCTTTTAAAATAATTGATGATTTTATGGAGATAGGGAGGGAATAACCTATGTTTATTGAACACCTAATATTCCACTTACCCGAATGTCATTTATTCTATATTCTAGTTTTTTTGTTGAGACAGGGTCTTGCTCTGTTACCTAGCCTAGAGTGCAGTGGGGTGGTCACAGCTCACTGATATATACCACCATGCCTGGCTTATTATTTTATTTTATTTTATTTTATTTTATTTTATTTTGATGTTATTTTATGTTATTTTATGTTATTTTATTTATTTTATTTTATTTTTTGTTATTTTTGCAGAGATGGTGTCTCCCTATATTTCCCAGGCTTGACTTGAACTTCTGGGCTCAAGCGATCCTCCTACCTTGGCATCCCAAAGTGCTGGGATCATAGGCATAAGACACTGTGCTCAGCCAATATAATAATCTTGATAGTAGAAGTGTCTCAGTGTACTGGAAAACTTTGTCTACATTTTGAAAAAATATTTAAAAATGTGTTGGTTTTATTTGGCCAATACTGATTTCTTTGCTCCATCATTATTTATTGGCATTATTAGCCAGTTGACTTTCAATTTCCTTACATCCATCTCACTCCATTTCTTTTATTTTGTACCCCAAATAGAAATTCTTTTTTTTTTTTTTAGATGGATTCTTGCTCTTGGCTCTTGTGACCCAGGCTGGAGTGCAGTGGTGCAGTCTCAGCTCACTGTAATCTTCACCTTCCAGGTTCAGGGGATTCTCCTGCCCCAACCTCCTGAGTAGCCTAGATTACAGACATGTGCCACTACACCCCGCTAATTTTTTGTATTCTTTTTTCTTTTCTTTTCTTTTTTTTTGAGGTGGAGTTTCGCTCTTGTTGCCCAGGCTGGAGTGCAATGGCACGAACTCTGCTCACTGCAACTTCTGCCTCCCAGGTTCAAGTGATTCTCCTGCCTCAGCCTCCCAAGTAGCTGGGATTAGAGGGTGAGCCACCACACCTGACTTATTTTTGTATTTTTAGTAGAGACAGGGTTTTGCCATGTTGGCCAGGTTGGTCTGGAACTCCTGATGTCAAGTCATCCACCTGCCTCGGCCTCTCAAAGTGCTGGGATTACAGGCATGAACCACTGTGCCCGGCTTTTTTCTATTTTTATATTTATTTATATTTTGATAGACAGTCTCACTCTGTTGCCCAGGCTGGAGTGCAGTGGCACAGTCTGGGCTCACTGCAACCTCCGCCTCCCAGGCTGAAGCGATTCTCCTGCCTCTGCCTCCTGAGTAGCTGCCACCACGCCTGGCTACCTTTTGTATTTTAATTAGAGACAAGGTTTCACCATGTTGGCCAGGCTGGTCTTGAACTCCTGACCTCAGGTGATCTGCCCACCTTGGCCTCCCAAAGTGGCCTTGCTTGAGGCCAGGAGTTTGAGACCAGCCTGGCCAACATGGTGAAACCTGCTCTCTACCAAAAATAATTAAAAAAAAAAAAATAGCCAGGTATGGTGGTGTGTGCCTGTATTCCAAGCTACTTTGATGGCTGAGTCACAAAAATCACGTGAACCCAGGAGGCAGAGGTTGCAGTGAGCTGTGATCACCTCACTGCACTGTAGCCTGGGTAACAGATTGAGACTTGTCTCAAAAAAAAAAATAATAATAATTCTTGGCAGGACGTGGTGGCTCACACCTGTAATCCCAGCACTTTGGGAGGCCAAGGTGGGTGGATCACCTGAGGTCAGGAGTTTGAGACCAGCCTGACTAACATGGAGAAACTCCATCTCTCCTAAAAATACAAAATTAGCTGGGTGTTGTGGTGCGTGCCTGTAATCCCAGCTACTCAGGAGGGTGAGGCAGAAGAATCGCTTGAACACAGAAGGCAGAGGTTGCAGTGAGCTGAGATCACATCACTGCACTCCAGCCTGGGCAACAAGAGCGAAACTCCATCTCAAAAAAAGAAAAAAAAAATGTTTACTTTGGATAAATACTTAGAAATGGAATTTCCAGGTCAGCCTTTAGATTTTTTTAATGGATTTAATAAGAAAAACCTTTACTTGAGGATGTATAAAGCTTTAAAAGACAGGGTCCCTATTCTTAAGTTAAAAATAAAGCAGCATTTGTAAGGTAATATTCAGAAAACATCAGATAACATCCTATAAAGTCCTCCTGTTCATGCTGATGACATTGGATGGCCAGTTAAGGATGACACTTCATTCTGTCTCCTGCAACCATGGTCCTGACATGTCTAAATGATACTGGCCCTATGAGAACACTGGATGTGAAAGCATTTCCTCAAGTTATCTTTTTGGCCTGCTGGTTTTAATCTAATGATGGGATATCCAAAGTGAACCTAAAGGAGTTACATGATTATGCATCTGTTGGGGGGAATCAGAGACAGCTAGAGCAAGGGCAGACACGTGCTGAACTCATCTGTCTTAAGAGCTGAAGCAAGCAGCAGTGTTGCCAGCAGAGCTACTGCACATCTGTACACGTGGCTCTAATGGCTCTGACCTGTTTTTTTTTTCCCAGTATGAACCTAATACATGAGGCAAATTAGAAAATCAGAGTTGGCCAGGCATGGTGGCTCACGCCTGTAATCCTGGTACTTTGGGAGCCAACGTGGGTGGATCACTTGAGGCCACGAGTTTGAGACCAGCCTCAGCAACACAGTGAAACCCCGTCTCTACCAAAAATACAAAAATTAGCTGGGTGTGGTGGCAGGCACCTGTAATCCCAGCTATGGGAGGCTGAGGTTGCAGTGAGCCAAGATCAGGCCACTGCACTTCAGCCTGGGTGACAGAGCAAGACTGTCTCAAGAAAAAAAAAAGGGAAAGGAAAGGAAAGAAAATCACAGCTTGTTAGCCACTTGCAGCTAAACACATATGCACAAAAATTATTCAGTAAAAGCAAAACAGTTTTGGTGTATCTTGAGATTTTGTTTTATATCCAAAGGAAGACTATATCTTTTATCTTTGAACTACTCTTTGGAAAAATGCCTTCTATATAACAAATGTTATAGTTTTCTTCTAATTGGGTCTTGAGGTCTCTCAGAATGGCTATAAACTCTACCTCACTCTAATGGGGCTCTAGGGGAGGGGTCTATGGGTCTTTAGAGTAGCTTTTCACCAGAAATTTCTTTTTCCTGGACCACAGCCTAATGCTCAAGTATCAGACCCATAACCAGGTGTCTCACAGGAAACTTGTTTATACTGGCAGATGCCCTTGTAACTTTTGTTTGACCTGTGTGCAGTTTATTCCTACCATGATACCCACTCTTTTTTTTTTTTTTTTTTTTTGAGATGCAGTCTCAATCTGTTACCAGGCTGGAGTGCAGTGGCACGACATTGGCTCACTGCAACCTCCACCATCTGGGTTCAAGCAATTCTCCTGCCTCAGCCTCCCGAGTAGTGGCACGTGCCACCATGCTCAGCTAATTTTTGTATTTTTAGTAGAGTCAAAGTTTCACCATGTTGGCCAGGATGGTTTTGATCCCTTGGCCTCATGATCTGCCCTACTCGGCCTCCCAAAGTTCTGGTATTACAGGCGTGAGCCACCGCGCCTGGCCTTTTATATATTTATTTATTTTTTTGAGACAGGATCTTGCTCTGGTGCCTAGGCTGGAGTGCAAGTGGCAGGATCACAGCTCATTGCAGCCTTGACCTCCTAGGCTCAAGCAATCCTCCCACCTCAGCCTCCCAAGTAGCTGGGACTAGAGGCATGTCCCACTACATCTGGCTAATTTGTATATGATATCTATTTTTGTAGAGATAGAGTTTTGCCATGTTGCCCAGGTAGATCTTGGACTCTTGAACTCAAGCAATTCACCTGCCTTGGCCTCCTAAAGTGCTGTGATTACAGGTGTGGGTTACCACACACAGCCAATGTACATTTAATTATCAAAGTACTATCTATACCACTTTATGGAAGTACTAATTATCAAAGTGCAATAGAGGTTTTGTTGTTTTTGTTGTTGTTGTTTTTCTTTTGAGACAGTTTCACTCTTATTGCCCAGGCTGGAGTGCAGTGGTGCGATCTCGGCTCACTGCAACCTCCACCTCCCAGGTTCAAGCGATTCTCCTGCCTCAGTCTCCCAAGTAGCTGGGATTACAGACATGTGCCACCACACCCAGCTAATTTTATATTTTTAGTAGAGACTAAAATGGTCTCTCCATGTTGGTCAGGCTGGTCTCGAACTCCTGATCCCAGGCGATCCATCCGCCTTGGCCTCCCAAAGTGCTGGGTTTACAGGTGTGAGCCGCTGTGCCCGGCCAATAGAGGTTTTTAAACTTTTTGTAGATATTTTTGAAAAATCCTGTCTTCCTTTAAGAAAAGAGACAAGGCTGGGTGTGGTGGCTCATGCCTGTAATCCCAGCACTTTGGGAGGCCAAGTCAGATGGATTGCTTGAGCTTAGGAGTTTGAGAGTAGCCTGGCCAAATGACAAAACCTCGTTTCTACTAAAAATACAAAAAAAAAAAAAAATTGACTGGGCATGGTGGTCCATGCCTATAGTCAAAGCTAATACAGAGGCTGAGGTGGGAGGATCACCTGAGCCTGGAAGGTTGAGGCTGCAGTGAGCTGTGATTGTGCCACTGCACTCCAGCCTGGGCAACAGAACGAGACCCTGTCTCAAAGTGAAAACAAAAACAAAAAAATGAAACAAGAGAAGAAAAAAAAACAAGAAAGAAAATGGTAAGGGGGAAGTGCCTATTTATTAAGCTTTTGTTGTAAATAGTAACTTGCATATCAGATGTTTACTGTAATATTCTTGAAGCTTTGCCAGGCCTACAGCTTTCTGTGTGCTTTTCTACTCTATTTCACTTATTTAGGAAATAATATATCAATATACTTTATTCATTCCCAGCTGTAACCATGGAATACTGGGAATGTCCCATTCTATGAAGGAAGTTTGCCGGCTACAACAGGAATATTCATGAACGTGGAGGTACTCTGTTGAAGTTACACTAATTTTTTTACTCTTCCCCACTCTCAGCCTAGCCAGTCTGCTCACTATATTCTCTCCATCCTTCAGCACCCTTCCGTCTCTTCCTTCATCTTAAAAACCTTTCCTTTAATTTCAACAGTGCTGCCTGGGTTTGTCATTTCAGGGGTTGGGCATGTTCCAGGATCTGTTTATAGACTTCTCTCAGGAGGAATGGGAGTGCCTGGACACTGCTCAGAAGGACTTATACAGAAATGTAATGATGGAGAACTATAGCAGCCTGGTCTCACTAGGTAAGGATGTCTATCCCCAAATAACTCATGAATCTTGGGTGTAGCTTTCACTTGTCTGGGTGACTTTTCACCTGCTGCCTAGGGAATTGTTTTGTGTTTTGTAGATTAATAGATGGGCAGCTCTTTGGGGTCCCTGTATCTTCTCCATGCTTCAGACCTTTACACCTTCCTCTAGTCCTTCGTGAGTACTAAGGGACTAACTTTGAATTCAGGAACAGCACGAGTATGTCTTACTTCTTTTCTTTCTTTCTTTCTTTTTCTTTTTTTTTCGACATGAAGTCTCAGTCTATCGCCCAGGCTGGAGTGCAATGGCGTGATCTCGGTTCACTCCAACCTTCTTCTTGGGTTCAAGCAATTCTCATGTCTCAGCCTCCTGAGCAACTGGGATTACAGGCACCGGCCACCACACCTGGCCAATTTTTGTGTTTTTAGTAGAGACAGGGTTTCACTATGTTGGTCAGTCTGGTCTTGAACTCCTGACTTCAAGCAATCCACCTGTTTTGGCCTCCCAAAGTACTGGGATTACAGGAGTGAGCCACTATGCCTGGCCATCTTACTTCTTTTCTTATAAACAGGTCTCTCTATCACAAAGCCTGATGTGATTTCCTTACTGGAGCAAGGGAAAGAGCCCTGGATGGTTTCAAGGGACGTACCGGGAGGGTGGTGCCCAGGTGAGTAAGGACTGAGCAGATGGGGAAGGCACTGCTGTTTAGAACCCACCCCATCAGGGAGGCAGCACCGTAAAGGTATTGTTTGAGGAATCTCTTCCGCAAGGTCCCATGTAAGAGTTGTGGCCTAAGACACATGGAGAAAAGTCAAGATAACCCCACCACACACATTTTTTTTTTAATTTTTTTAATTTGAGAGAGAATCTTGCTCAGTCACCCAGGCTGGAGAACAGTGATGCAATCTCGGCTCACTGCAACCTCCGCCCACGGGTTGAAGTGATTCTCCTGCCTCAGCCTCTAAAGGAACTGGCATTATAGGCACCTGCCACCATGCCCAGCTAATTTTTGTATTTTTAGTAGAGAAGATGTTTCACCATGTTGGCTAGGCTGGCATCGAACTCCTGACCTCAGGTGATCCACCTGCCTTGGCCTCTGAAAGTGCTCGTATTACAGGTGTGAGCCACTGTGTCTGGCCAAGAACCCCCTTTTACCTCCACCTCTTCAGTCTGTGCTACCCTCTTGTCATAATTTCTTTCCATTTCAAAGAATAATGTTCCCTTCTTCAGAAGCCATCATGTATCCTCTATCTTGGAGCTACTTCTTTCCCTTTAAAATTTAAACCCGTGTTGTTGCTTTAAAAACAAATCTTTTAAAATATATTTATTTTTCGTACTGATCCTTGACTTTTTTGCCTTGTCTTTTCTTGGCTAGTTTTCCTTTAATGCAGCCATTTCATGCATCAATGGATATTCATTTACAATTTTTTTTTGTTTGTTTTTTTTTTTTTTTTGGTTAGAGTCTCACTCTGTAGCCCGGGCTGGAGTGCAGTGGCGCGATCTCGTCTCACTGCAAGCCAATAAGAAGCGATTGGGGATGACCTCCCTACAAGCACAGCAAAACCTTTCCTGCGCATTTCTGCGCTGGAACGCCTACCCTTAGTGCCGTTTCCTGCACTTTCTTGCAGATTTGTACCAGGTGCTGGAGACCCTCCCACCTGGTCCATACCCGGTGAGCCCCGAGACCCAACCTTGTGCACCGCCAGTCTTGTTATCAACAAACAGGCTAGTAAATTATAAAAAGTAAAATAAAGGAAATGTAGCTGGGCGTGGTGGCATGCGCCTGTAATCCCAGCTACTCCGGAGGCTGATGCAGGAGAATCACTTGAACCCAGGAGGTGAAGGTTGCAGTGAGCCGAGATCGTGCCACTGCACTCCAGCCTGGAGGGCAAGAGCTAAACTCCTTCTTGAAATAATAAATAAAATAAATGAAATGGGACCGGGCATGTTGGCTCACGCCTGTAATTCCAGCACTTTTGGTGGCCGAGGCGGAGGATCACTGGAGGTCAGAAGTTCGAGACCAGTCTGGCCAACGTGGTGAAACCCCGTCTCTACTAAAAATAAACAATTAACCAGGCATGGTGGCTGGCGCCTGTAATCCCAGCTATTTGTGAGGAGCAGGCACAAGAATCGCTTGAATCCCAGAGACAGAGGTTGCAGTGAGCCGAGCTCGTGCCACTGCGCTCCAGCCTGGGCGACAGAGCGAGACTCCATCTTAAAATAAAATAGGACAGCCGAGGGTGCTCATGCCTGTAATCACAGCACTTTGGACGCCGAGGCGGGTGGATTGCCTGAGCTCAGGAGTTCAAGACCATCCTGGCCTACATGGTGAAACCCCATCTCTACTAAAAATGCAAAAATTAGCCGGGCATGGTGGAGCATGCCTGTAATTCTAGCTACTTGGGAGGCTGAGAGAGGAGAACCGTTTCAACCCAGGAGGCGGAAGTTGCAGTGAGCCGAGACTGCCACATTGCACTCCAGCTTGGGCAAGAGGATTGAAACTCCATCTCAAAAAAAAAAAAGTAAATAAATAAATAAATGAATATAAAAGAAATAGACACAGCAAACCTTAATGCATGAACTCAAACAAAGGCTTTCACTGCCAGGCTCCATCTTTGTAAAACTGAACCTAGGACAAAGTGCACGTTTCTAACTAGCAATTCTGGAGGACAGATCAGGGAGACAGCCTGAGCTTGCTTTTCTGCAATTTCATTGACTGGTCAGTAAAGTCAGTGTTTGCAGGCATTTTCAATGTTCTGTAGTAGGTTTCAGTGCCTGTGGCAGGCCAGGTTTCCAATAGCAACCAGAACAGTTTCTACTAACCCTTTACTATAATTTTGATGAATGCATAAGTTAACGTTAATGAAATGGAGAAACTGGTACCTGAGTATCAGGGATGGAATGTGAAAAGAAACCCATTGAGACCCCGCCTGGGTTTTCTCAGACCCTAAAGTCTGATCGAATAATGATAGCATTCGTACACATTCACCTCGGCCTGTCTTAAGATTCAGAAACTTTCCAAGACTCTAGAGAAATCTTTCCAGACGCTAGACCCGAGTTAAAGATTAGATGTTGATGGAATGAAACACTCCTGCTTGTAGGTGAAATCCCACATGGAGCTTAAGATGTATATAAGCACTAGAAAAAAAAGAAAACTTGTAACTTTGAGTTGATCTGGTGAGTTACCTGGCGCTTCTCCCTGTAAGTGGCTGCAGAAATAAACTTCTTTCCTTCCCAGTCTGTCTGTATCTCATTATTGAACAATTGCAATTGACCTGCCCAGCAAAGTCCTCTTTTGTGTGGTTATCTGGGACGCCCTTGGAGGGAATATTTGAAATTTTCCATTTCAAAGCATTCTGTTGGCACTCTTACACTGTTTTTCTCTGCCTGCCCTGGGACCTGAGTTCTCCTGGATGCGAATCCCCAGCCACAGAGCCTAGAAGCCCATTCCTCCACATTCTGTGACTGTTACCCAAACACAGGGAAAATTTGCAGAAAATAAGCCTAAAAATCTTGTCATTCTTTGCAATAAGACCCCACATTAAAATCTGCTGAAAACAGGATTTTAGCCTGAATAGGTTTTTCCTCTATTTGAAACCAATCATTTCCCTTTACAATTTTGGAGGGAAGTTTCAAAATCAATCAGTAAGCACCCCCCACCGCCGGTTTATCCTTATGTAAAGTGTGCCCTCTGCACATGCAAGATTGAATAAACCTTGAAAATATTGTGCTAAGTGAAAGAAGCCAGTCACAAAGGACCACATGTTATGTAATTCCATTTAAATAAAGTGTCCAAAATAGCCTAATACATAGAATCAGAAAGTAGATTCGTGGTGGCCCAGGGTTAGGGGAGTTGGGGGAAAATGGAGGGATATGGGGTTTACTTCAGGGTAATGAAAATGATCTAAAATTTATTGTGGTGATGTTTGCATGACAGTGTAAATATACTGAAAACCATTGAATTTTACACTTTAAATCAGTGGCTTCTGTGGTATGTTATCAATATTTCTCAATAAAACGTCAAAAAAATAGTGCCTATGTGTCTTTTTATGTATTATTCCTCCAGAGTCCAGTCCATATTTTTTACATTTGATAAATAAATTAAGATTTTGTTTCTTTTCTTTTTTTTATTTTTTTTTGAGACAGAATCTCCCTCTGTTGCCCAGACTGGGGTGCATTGGCACAATCTTGGCTCAGTGCAACCTCCAGGCTAATTTTTGTATTTTTAGTAGAGACAGTGTTTCACCATGGTGGCTAGACTAGTCTCAAACTTCTGACCTCAAGTGAGTCCCCCACCTTGGTCTCCAAAATTGCTGACATTACAGGCATGAGCCACCGCACCCAGCCCAAGATTTAGTTTCTGTTGTTCTGATGCCCTAGGGTCATCTTATTCTACCTTAATTTCTGACGCATCATCTCAGTGGAAATTTTACATTAGGTCCCAAAGTATTTTAGTCTTTTTAAGATTTTATCAGATGAGTACAGTGGCTCAAACCTGTAATCTCAACACTTTGGGAGGCCAAGGTATGAGGATCAGTTGAGCCCAGGAGTTCAAGAGCAGTCTCTGTAACATAGTGAGACACACATATCTACAAAAAAAAGTTTAATTAGGTGGGCATATTGGTGCATGCCTGTGGTCTCAGCTACTATGTAGGCTGAGGAGGGAGGATCACTTGAGCCCAGGAGGTTGACGCTACAGTGGCCTTGATTATACCACTGCACTCCAGCCTGGGTGACAGAGCGATACCCTGTCTTAAAAAAAAAAAAATTAATTGGAATTTTTTTTAGAAAACGAAGTATACACTTAGTGACTTAATACAAATGAATGAATTTTTTAATCTACAGAAACCAAAACAAATAAATAAATTAATAAATAAAAACCCAAAGCCATTCTTCTTATGTGAATCTCTGGTATCTCTGAATTATAAGAATTGTGAATTATGATTAATAACAAATATGCATGACAAGGACTTAATAAGGGATAGGCATTAATAAACTGCCATACACACTTACTGGTGTAAGGCCTTTAAAGATGTACAAGAAAAAGCAAGAAAAGGCATTGAAAAATTGCATTGCCTACCAAAACACTAAAGTTTACCTAAGTCCATTAATCAGCACACACACACACACACAACGGCTGTGTAAAATGGTCATCAAAGTCTCCTTTGAATGTATCCTTTTATTAATAGGTCTGTGGGGGTAAGAGATGAGGTTCTGTAGATCCTGGAATCAGGGATGGGGAATCTGTGGGGTTCCTGGGGTGAGAGATGACGATCTGTAGATTAGTGATGGGTGGTCTTTGGGATAGTGATGAGGTCCATGGAATCAATTCTTGTGGGTATGTAGGGTCAGTGATGAGGGAATCTGGTGTCAGTGATGGGATGTGTGTGGAATCAATCTTTGAAAGCCAGATTTGTGGTGTCATTTCTCAGGCTGACACATCCTGATCTGTGTGTCAGTGGTGGAAATTCTATGGGGTCAGAGTGTGACAGTCAGGTCCCTGACACTGTGTGTTCTGGGTCTGGCCAAGTGCACAGATTCCCTTGCCTGGTCCTGGCTGGAGAGGCCCTTCTCAAGGACTCCTCACATGAAAGGTGGGTTGGCGGTGGGTTTTGTTTTTGTTTTTGTTTTGTGGTGGAGGTGGGGGTGGGTTGGCTTTTTCTTTAGGGTTTAGTTTTGCCTCTTAGAGACCACAGACACATGCAGCTTTTAGGAAGAAATTTTTGTCTGGATGGTCACTAGGTCCTTCGGGCCAAGCCATCTAGTGGGAATAAAGCTGACCATTCCCTCAGCGCGGTTCAGATCTAGACGGTCATTTTAAGGTGTCCTCAAGGTGGCGTGCAAGTGGGTTGTGGCTTTGAGTGGCAGGTGTGCGGGAAGAAACAACTAAGATGACCCAGGAGCGCTCCTAGGCTGGATCTGTCACAGCTGGAAGAACAGCCTCCCTAATCCATCAGGCGCCAATGGGAGGTACCTCTGGTTTGTGAGAGGCTGGTGAAGGCAGGACCTCCAGACCTAGAGATTCTGGGCACAGAAGCCTGTTACTGCCAGACGCTGAGGCGTTGCCATGGGATCCAAGGGCGTTTCGTGTCATATCAGAGCCTTTCTCAGATAATTATTTCGGTAAATGGGGAGCTCTTGTCCAGCACACGCCCCTATGAAGGCTTAATGTGCCATCTCCCGCAGAGTCTTCTTTGGGCTGAGAGCCAATTGTTTCTTACATCCCTGTGCTAAACTCACCATCTGCTCCTACATACCCCAGGCATTTGCCACATGCTGGTCCTCTCTTTCCTGACAGGCAGGCCGTCTCTTCAGCTTCTGTGAGGACAGTTCAAATTATGGAGGAGGGGGCAGGTGCAGGGCGGCAGTGCTGAGCGGAGTACCGGGCAGTTGGGGGAGCAGGGGCTCATTTTTCTTTGTAGCTCAGATTCCTAAGCCTGTGACTTTGAGTATTAGTGTCTTCCTTGCAATGTTTCAATCTGAGGTTTTTTGGGACAGTGCAGAATTGGAGCCCGATGGAAGCCTGGTGGGTAGAGGGGTGGGTGGAGGGAACATGGAGAATGTGTCAGGTGGTGTCTATTCCTGACACCTTACTTTGCCTGCTGGAGTTTCCCAGTCTGTTCCAGATGCACTCTCTTGACCCTGAAGGGACCTGAAGGGGGATGTTGATCGCCAGTGTGTGCTCCCCTGGACTCGATTGGAATTGGTTCCACAAAGTGTTATTTATTTATTTATTTGGAGGAAGTCTCACTCTGTCACCCAGGCTGGAGTGCAGTGGGGCAATCTCAGCTCACTGCAACCTCTGATTCCCAGGTTCAAGTGATTTTCCTGCTTCAACCTCCCTAGTAGCTGGGACTACAGGTTTCTGCCACCACACCTTGCTAAATTTTTTATTTTTAGTAGAGACAGGGTTTCACAGTGTTGGTCAGGCTGGTCTCGAACTCCTGACCAGGTGATCGAACCAACTTGGCCTCTCAAAGTGCTGGGATTACAGGCGGGAACCATCACACCCCGCCAATCCCACAAATTTAAGCATTATGGTACATTGCTACTTTTGAATCACTTATTTTTTACTTGTGTTTTTCCCCCTCCTTTTATTGATTGATTGACACAGAGTCTCACTCTGTCACCCAGGCTGAACTGCAGTGGCACAATCTCAGTTCATTGCAACCTCTGCCTCCCGGATTCAAGCGATTGTCCCTCCTCAACCTTCCAAGTAGCTGGGATTACAGGCACATGCCATCACGCCTGGCTAATTTTTGTATTTTCAGTAGAGACAGGGTTTCACCATGTTGGCTAACCTGGTCTCAAACTTCTGACCCCAAGAGATCCACCTTCCTTGGCCTCCCAAATTGCTGACATAGGCATGAGCCTCCTTGCCCGGACTTCCCTCCTTTTCCTTCAGGGATTTTAAATGTTTTCTTTCCTCCATCTATTTAATTATGTGTGATTGCTTGAGGATTTCAACTTGAATTAAAATTACATATATTTACCTGTCTTTATTAATATTTAAACATACTAAAATAATACATGTTCATAATGAAAATGAAACATTACAAATAAATACACAGGAAAGGCAGTATTCCCCCTCCAGTTCCACTCTTGAAATAACCAGTTAACAAGATGATGAGCATCTTTCCATGATGTTCTCCAAGATTCATATAAGTATTGGCCAGAAAACAGCAGAATATACAGGCCAGGCATGATGGCTCATGCCTGTAATCCCAGCACTTTGGGAGACTGAAGCGGGTGGATCTTTTGAGGTTAGGAGTTCAAGACTAACCTGGCCAACATGGTGAAACCCCATTGCTACAAAAAATACAAAAATTATTTGGGCGTGGTGGTGAGCACCTTAATCCCAGCTACTTGGGAGGCAGAGGCACGAGAATCTCTTGAACCCAGGAGGTGAAGGTTGCAGTGAGCCAATATCGCATTACTGCACTCCAACCTGGGTGACAGACTGAGATTCCATCTCAATAAATAAGTAAATACATAAAATAAAGAGAAAAAAAGAAAGATGAAAGAAAGAAAAAGAAAGAAGAAAGAAAAGAAAAGAAAGGAAGAGAAAGAAAGGAAGAAAGAAAGAAAAAGAGAGAAGTCGTGTGCTCAGGGTGCTACAATAGATGGTAAGAACAAATCCTCTAGCGGTGAAAATGTAAGAAGGAAAAAGAAATTTCTGTTAGTCTTGTGTGTTGCACCCCAAGCTCTAAAAAGTACAGTCACGTGTGTGATAAGTGCTTAGTTAAGATGAAAAAGGCATTAAATTTGCGTGTGGAAATCATAAACAGAAATGTGTTCTGATTGACAGCAATTGGGTCAATGCTACCCAAGTTTCAGGCATCCACTGCAGGTCTTAGAGCACGTCTCCTGCAGATAAGGAAGGGCTACTATATAACGTTTCTTTCTTTTTTCTTTAATTATGAAGCATTCTCCTTTTTTAATATAACAATTTGCCACATATACCACTTTAGCTATAAAGATATTAGGATACCTTTATAGTAGATAAAAAGCTAACTCATTCTTTGTAAGAGTTAAAGTATCTTTCATTATACGAACATTTAAGATATTAAAGTACTTTTGCCACCAAAAATAGTGCTTCTGTAAATATTCTTTTACTTATATCTTTATTAATTTTTACTTCTGCTGAAACATATTGCATGAGGAAACAAGTGTACGTGTATAAAGTGTAATATATGTATATATATTTAATATGTGTATATACAACTTAATATATACACATACATACAATAACATATACAATTTTTTTGTTTTGTTTTTTGAGATGGAGTTTTGCTCTCTCATCCAGGCTGGAGTGCAGTGGCATGATCTTGGCTCACTGCAACTTCCACTGCTTTGTTCAAGTGATTCTCCTGCCTCAGCCACCTGAGTACCTGGGAATACAGGCACCTGCCACCATGTCCAGCTAACTATGTTTTTTTAGTGGAGACAGGTTTTCACCATGTTGGCCAGGCTGCTCTGAAACTCCTGACCTCAAGTGATCTGCCCACCTTGGCCTCCCAAAATGCTGGAATTACAGGCATGAGCCACCATGCCCGGCCTAACATATACAATTTAATGTATATACAAATATAGGTTGGGTGCAGTGGCTCACTCCTGTAATCCTAGCACTTTGGGGAGCTGAGGTAGGGGATTGTTTGAACCCGGGAGTTTGAAATCAGCCTGGGCAACATGGTGAAACCCTATCTGCACAAAAAACACAAAAATTAGCTGGGTGTACTTGCAGGTGCCTGTGGTCCCAGCTACTCAGGAGACTGAGGTGGGAGGATAGCTGGAGCCTGGGAGGTCGAGGCTGCAGTGAGTTGTGATCATGCCACTGCACCCCAGTGTGGGTGATAGAGTGAGACCCTGTCTCAGACAAAAACAAAAACAAACCAAATATAATGTTTATGTGATACACACTTGATTTCTTTCCAAAGGGGTATATAACACTCTACTTTCACCAGCAATATGCTACTACTTATTTCCTATATACTATCACTTGTGTGCAGTCAAGGAAACTTCATAGGCCTGAATTGCTCAAACCTGGCATACTCCAAAGAAAGGTTTGACTCTATCTTAGCTCCCAGGAAATAACCTCTAAGTCCTTGGAATCTCCTGCCTATCTGGGAGTTAACAACGTGATTTATTATGGGGACCTTGGACCATGAAGTGTCAGCTTGACCTTGGGAAGGGTGGAGACAGAGAAACTAAGGTCATCCAAATGGGTGTTCTTGTCCATGTGACCAACCTCCGGTAAAATGCTCAACACCAAGGCTCAGGTAAGCTTTTTGTTGGGGAGTATATTCCATACTTTTTGCCACATATCGCTGGGTGAATTAAGCACTGTCCACACGATGTCACTGGGAGAGGACAACTGGAAGCTTGTGCTTTGTCTCTCCTGGACTCTGTCCTGTGCACCTTTTTCTGCTGCTGATTTTATCTGTATCTTTTTGTTGTAATAAACTAAGAGTATAACAGCTTCACTCGGTTTTGTGAGTCTTTCTAATTAATCACTAAACATTTGGGACATCAGAACACAATGTTGTCTCTTTTTAATTGAATTTTCCATGTTATGTAAGAAACCTATGTGCATAATTGAAAAATCACAAACTAAGAGTTTTTCATGCAGTCTACTCCCCCACCCTGTTTCTCCAATGCTCCCAGGTCTACTTCCTGAATAATCAAATGTTTAAATTTTCTAAACTATTTTTAATCTATATATCTGAGTGCTTATTTCTATATTATATAATAGGTAGATCCTGCTCCTTCTCAATATATCAACTTGATATATTACCTGATGGCTTCCTGTTCTGATAGCTGATGACTTGGCTGACACTCACCCCTTAGCCCGGTGCCTGGACCACTTTTCAAACATGGTGCTCTCACCATTTTCTTTTTCTTTGCTTTTCTTTTTTTTTTTTTGAGACGGAATATTGCTCTGTCACCCAGGCTAGAGTGCAGTGGCATGATCTGGGCTCACTGCAACCTCCACCTCCCAAATTCAAGTGTTTCTTCTGCCTCAGCCTCTGCAGTAGCTGGGATTACAGGGGCATGCCACCACGACTGGCTAATTTTTGAATTTTTAGTAGAGATGGGGTTTCACCCTCTCAGCCAGGCTGGCCTCGAACGCCTGACCTCATGATCCACCCATCTCAGCCTCCCAAAGTGCTGGGACGGCACTCGGCCACTCTCACTATTTTCAATGGCTCTCTTGGTCACCTTTCACTCGGGGGAGTAGCTGAGGCAGTAGAATCACTTGAACCCGGGAGGTGGAGGTTGCAATGAGCTGAGATGGTGCCATTGCACTGCAGCCTGGGCAACAAGAGTGAAACTCTGTCTAAAAAAATAAATAAATAAATAAATAAATAAAACAGAAAAGGAAAGAAAAGAAGCTCTTCCTCCATATACCTGTAAGGATCATTGTCTTAATTTTCTTCATGTCTTAACATGATTCTTGCCTTGTCAGAGATCATCCTCTCTGAAATTGAAACTATTTACTGCTTCCTTTTTTTTTCCATAGCACTTAAAACATTTTTTTTTTTTTTTTTGAGATGGAGTCTCGCTCTGTCACCCAGGCTGGATTGCATTAGTGTGATCTCAGCTCACTGCAACCTCCGCCTCCCAGGTTCAAGCGATTCTCCTGCCTCAGCCTCCCAAGTAGCTGGGATTACAGGCATCTGCCACCAAGCCTGGCTAATATTTTTTTTTTTTTTTGTATTTTAGTAGAGATGGGGTTTCACCATGTTGGCCAGGCTGGTCTTGAACTCCTTACCTCAGGTGATGCAAACCACCTCGGACTCCTAAAGTGTTGGGATTACAGGGGTGAGCCACCACACCCAGCCCTGGCTAATTTTTGTATTTTTAGTGGAGACAGGGTTTCACCATATTGGCCAGGCTGATCTCGAACTCCTGACCTCAAGTGATCTCCCTGCCTCGGCCTCCCAAAGTGTTGGGATTAGAGGCATGAGCCACTGTGCCCGGACTGCTTTTGGACAAATCATCTCTGTTCTTATATTATGTCCACTAGAATGTAAACTTGATGAGAGCAGGAGATATTGTCAATTTTGTTCACTGCTATTTATCCCCAGAGCCTAGAACTGTACCATGCACGGGGTAAAGAGACAAATATTTGTTGAATGAATATATTGAGCAACTGTTCTCAGACTTTTTGGTCTCAGAAATTCTTTACTCTCTGTTTCTTTACTCCCAACATCAGGTGATCTGCCCACCTTGGCCTCCCAAAGTGCTAGGATTATAGGAGTGAGCCAAAACACCCAGCCACCCAACTAATTTTTGTATGGTAGTAGGCACAGGGTTTTGTCATGTTTTCCAGGCTGGTCTTGAACTCCTGACCTCAAGTGATCTCCCACCTTAGCCTCCAAAAGTGCTGATATTACAGGCGTAAGACACCACGCCCGACTAAATAAACCAAAAACTTTAGATAAGTGAATTTGGAGGAAATATTTATAACAGATAAAAAGGACAAACAGATAATTCTAATGTACTGTCTCTCTGGCTTAATAAAATATTAGTCAATACCCTAAGAAGAAAGAAACAATATCTAAAAATTCACCATTCACAAACACAAATAGTCGGAAAACAAAGTCAAAACCTAAGAACTTGTTGAACACTTATCTCTCCTCTGAAATCAGCTCTTGAATGTGTTGAACTAGGATTGATTTCAGATTAGGAAATTTTTAAAATATGTTTTAAAGTTTCACTTTTTGGAATTTAAAATTAATCCAAATTATGTAATATATAACATTTAGAATTTAACAATCAATACTCTATCATTTTTTCACTCTTCAAATAATATCTTGTTCAATAGTTTAAAATGCTTTTAAAATTAATAGATTCTGAAGGCTATAGTCTGTAGAGACTGTCTCTACAAAAAATAGAAATATATATACTTTTAAAATATATATAAAATATATATTTTAAATGTATATGTTTTAAGTATATAAAATATATTTTTAAAATTTCATTTTTTCGCCAGATCGTATGGTAAGCGTATGTTTAGTCTGGCAGGAACTTACAAAACTGCCTTCCACAGTGGCTGTCCCACTTTGCGTTCTCAGCAGAAAGAGAGATGAGTTCCTGTCGCTCCATATCTTCATCAGCATTTGGTGTTGGTGTTTGCATTCAAGCCAGTCTAAGAGATGTGTAATGGTATCACATCGTTGTTTTAATTTGAATCCCTTAGTGACATATGGTGTTGAGCATCTTTTCAGAGGTCTAAGAAATGTGCTGGGCATGGTGACACATGCCTGTGGTCCCAGCTACTCAGGAGGCTGGGGTGGGAGGGTTACTTGAGCCCTGGAGTTTGGGGCTGCATTGAGCCATGATTGCACCACTGTACTCCAGCCTGAGTGACAGAGCTAAACCCTGTCTCAAAAAGATAAATAAGGCCAGGTGCGGTGGCTCATGCCTGTAATCCAAGCAATTTGGAAGGCCAAGGCGGGTGGATCATGAGGTCAGCAGATCAAGACCATCCTGGCTGACACAGTGAATCCCCGTCTCAACTAAAAATACAAAAAATTAGCCAGGCATGGTGGATGGTGCCTGTAATCCCAACTATTCAGGAGGCTGAGGCAGGAGAATCGCTTGAACCCGCGAGGCAGAGGTTGCCATAAGCCAAGTTCAGGCCATTGCACTCCAGCCTGGGTGACAGAGTGAGACTCCATCTCAATAAAAATAAATAAATAAATAAATAAATAACTGACTTAATTTTTAGAACAGTTGTAGGTGTACAGAAAAATAGAGCAGAAGGCATATTGAGCTCTAATATCCACCCCACATCATAGTACACACACTTCCTCTATTATCATCTTGTTAGTGTGGTAATTTGTTATGCTTGATGAGCCAGTAGTGATATTATTAAGTTCATGGCTAATATTAAGACTCACTCTCTGTCTTCTACCATTTATGGGCTTTGACAAATGCTTAAGAACATATATCTACCATTATAGGGTCACACAGAAAAGTTTCACTGCCCTAAAAATCTTCTGTGCTCCACCTATTCATCCTTCCTTCTGCTCAAGCCTCTGGCAACCACTGAACTTTTTATAATAGCATCTGCCTAGTTTTGCCTTTTCTTGTATTCCATATAACTGGAACTGTATAGTATGTGGTCTTTTTGTATTGGCTTCTTTCACTTAGAAATACATGTTTAAGATTCCTCCATGTCTTTTCATGCCTTGGTAGTTCATTTCCTTTTATTCCTGAAGAATATTCCATTGTATGAATGTTTCAGAGTTAGTTTATCCATTTCTCTATTATAAGATATCTTGGTTACTTCCAATCTTTGTCAGTTGTGTATAAGCTGCTATAAACATTCATGTGCGGCATTTGAGTGGATGTAAGTTTTCAAATATTTGGGTATATACAAAAGATTCCAATTGCCAGATCATATTTAAACATACAAGGATGCAGATGCCATACACACAAATATGTATGTATATGTCATACACATATACAGTTTTAAATACATATATGTGTTCTATGGATATGTAAGTATTTATCTATTTTCACAGAAATGTCACTCTAAATCAGTACCTAGGGAGGGTCATCATTTTCTTAATCTATAAATCAAGACACAAGACACAGACTAGTGGCTGCACCCTAGTTTAATAAGTCCTCTATTATTGAGGATGTTTTCTTGTTTTCTTTGTCATTGTTGTTGTTGTTTTGTTTTGAGACAGAGTTTCACTCATTTGAGTCAAGTGGTGTGATCTCAGCTCACTGTAGCCTCCCGAGTAGCTGGGATTATAGGTGCTTGCCACCACACCCAGCTAATTTTTGTATTTTTAGTAGAGATGGGGGTTTACCATGTTGGCCAGGCTGGTCTTAGCTCCTGACCGCAGGTGATCCGTCCACCTCAGCCTCCCAAAATGCTGAGATTACAGGCATGAGCCACCACGCTTGGCTGCTTTCACCATTTCAGACTGAGCTTGGAGAAGAACCTGAGGAAAAATATGACTTTAAAATTTTGATGAATGGAGAAATCTCTTTCCATTCACCTTCCTTTTCTCTGTTTCATTCTTATTTTAAAATATACAAACAAAGATATGGTTACATCAGTTATTAAATAAACATCTGTGTGATAACTATCCAGGTGAAGAAATAGAGCACTATCACCACCGAGAAGTCCTCTGTATGCCCCTAACTGATGCTAAAGTCTTCCTTCCCCTTATTAGTAACAGATATGATATCCACATTACCTGTGGATATCAGCCATCCTCTCCTTGGTTCTCTGTATAATTTTATTATGTATTTTATATCTTTTTTTTTTTTTTTTTTTTGGAGATGCAATCTCACTCTGTCACCCAGGTTGGAGTTTAGTGGCATGATCTTGACTCACTGCAACCTCTGGCTCCCAGATTCAAGTGATTCTCATGCCTCAACCTCCCAAGTAGCTGGGATTACAGGCATGGACCATGTGCCACCATGCCTGGATAATTTTTGTATTTGTAGTAGAGATGGGGTTTTGCATGTTGGTCAGGCTTGTTTAGAACTTGTGACCTCAGTGCTTGGCCTTATTATGCATTTTTTATATGCCTAAAGTAAAGTCTGATTTTGCCTGGTTTTTCTCTTACATAATTGGAGTAAAAATCTGTATCCTGGTGCATCTGGTCCCTTTTACTCAATATTAAGTATTTAAGATTCACACTTAGCATTGTTTCTGCTTTTTATTAAAACAGTACACCAGCCAGGCATGATGGCTCATGCCTATAATCCCAGCACTTTGGGAGGCCGAGGCAGGCAGGTCACTTGAGGTCAGAAGTTCCAGACCACCCTAGCCAACATGGTGAAACTCCATCTCAATGAAAACCACAAAAATTAGGCCACGTGGTGGCTAATGACTGTAATCTAGCACTTTGGGAGGCCAAGGCAGGTGGATCACGAAGTCAGGAGATGGAGACAATCCTAGCAAACACGGTGAAACCACATCTCTACTAAAGATACAAAAAATTAGCCAGGTGTGGTAACACATACCTGTAGTCTCAGCTACTCAGGAGGCTGAGGCTGGAGCTCACTTGAATCTGGGAGGCAGAGGTTGCAGTGAGCTGAGTTTGCACCACTGCACTCCAGCCTGGGTGACAGAACTAGACTCTGCTAAAAAAAAAAAATTAGCCAGGTGTGGTGGTGTGCGCCTGTAATCCCAATTATTTGAGAGGCTAAGGCAGGAGAATCAGTTGAACTTGGGAGGTGGTGGAGGTTGCAGTGAGCCAAAATCGCGCCCTGTACACCAACCTATGCAATAGAGTGACAGTCTCACAAAAAAAAAAAAAAAAAAAAAAAAGCCCAGGAACAGTGCCTGCCACCTGTAATCCCAGCACTTTGGGAGTCCAAGATAGGTGGATCACCTCAGGACAGGAGTTTGAGACCGGCCTTACCAACAAGGTGCAACCCCATCTCTACTAGAAATACAAAAATTTACTGGGAGTTGGCAGCAAGCGCCTGTAATCCCAGCTACTGGGGAGGCTGAGACAGGAGAATTGCTTGAACACGAGAGGCGGAGGTTGCAGTGAGCCGAGATCGCACCACTGCACTCCAACCTGGGCGACTAAGCAAGACTCTGTCTCAAAAAATATATAAATTTATATTTATATACATAAAATAAATATAAAAAATATAAATAAATAAAAATACAGTACACCAGTGTGTAACCCTTCATTGTTGGTGGTCATGTGGGTTGTGTTCATTTTTGTCAGTTACAAATGATGTTATTGTGAATATGTTTGTATTTCTATTTGGTTACAATTAGTGTGTATTTATGTACAGTATAAACCAAGAGGTGAAACCATAGGTTACAGGGCAAACATATCTTCAGTTTTACCAGGTATTATTGGTTTCATCTCAATGTTAACACACCAACTGACAGTCTTACAATGTCTGATAACTCCCAACTCTTCGCATTCTTCTTGGCACTTAATTTTGTCAAAATTTTAATTTGAGTCTTTTGGTGGGTATGTGGCAATGATTGTGATATTAATTTACTGGGCATTTTCTTCTCCATAACAGGCCCTGTCAAGATATGTGTGGTGTGGCAGGGGTAGGAGCCCTTAGAGGTAGCATGGGCTCTGGAATCCTTAATCATCCTATGTGAAAAAGTTGGTGGGGCAGTGATTTTTGTTTTTTTGGGGTTTTTTTTGAGACAGAGATTCACTCTTGTTGCCCAGGCTGGAGTGCAATGGTACTCTCTCAGCTCACTGCAACCTCCGCCTCCCAAGTTCAAGTGATTTTCCTACCTCAGCCACCCAAGTAGCTGGGATTAGAAGCATGTGCCACCACACCCAGCTAATTTTTTGTATTTAGTAGAGATGGGGTTTCACCATGTTTGTCAGGCTGGTCTTGAACTCCTGACCTCAGGTGATCCACCTGTCTCAGCCTCCTAAAGTGCTGGGATTACAGGCATGCACCACTGCACCCTAATATCTCCTGTGTGTAATGGTGTAGCCAGGGTGCAAAGCCAGTTCTTAATGATTCTGTCATCCAAATATTATATCTTCTCGGTTCCCCTTGAGATATGCTCATTCCTCCATACAATTAAACAATCTCAATTACTCTTGAAGGAGCATAAAATCCTCCCTCTCTAATCATGGTTCCTTCAAAATTATTTGTTGGCTTGTGTTTAAAATATAAAAAAGAGAATGTAGATTTTGTTTTCTTCTTTCTGCTTAACCTGAACAAAATATCATAGAGACCTCTTAGCCTGTTGCTAAACCAAGGAGAGTCACTTGAATAATGAACAAGACTGGAGGGAAACCACATGGATAATTTATCATTACACTGTCATCACATACATGGAACTCATCAATGAAGCTTATGAAAAAAATTGAGTCGTTTGTGGAAAAGTGTAAAGAGACTATAAGAGATGCCTCAAGTGAAGAGAAAAAAGCTGCAGAAAATAATTACAAAAAAAAGAGTGTTAAGATGTAAACACAAATCAGAGATTCAGGAGCATGAAGGGTTAAGTTAAGGGAAAAAAGTGTTATCAATATTTTCTTATTTATTACGGAGAGCAGGATGAATTCTTAAAAGGTCAAATAATTGTGAGTCTGAGATATCTGATGATAATTTGTATTTTGTATTTCTAATGTTGTAAATGGTTGTTAATTCACAGTCATTCTTATTTCCTTTAGACTAGTGACCATGAGTTTGACTGACAAAAACCCATTGGCTTAGTATTGTTATCTATGTGTGTTCATCATGCTATGTGTTAAAATAAGAAGTTCATCAATTTTTGTCTTGTGTTTGTTTTCATTTCATTTTAGTTTAGCTTCTTTGGGACAAGGTCTCACTCTGTCACCCAGGCTGGAAGTGCAGTGGCATGATCAGAGCTCACTGCAGCCTCTACATCTCCAGGCTCAGGTGATCCTGCTACCTCAGCCTCCCAAGTAGCAGGAACTACAGGCATGAGCTACCACACCTGGCTAATTTTTGTATTCTTTGTAGAGACGGGGTTTTGATATGTTGCTCAGGCTGGTCTCAAACTCTTAGACTCAAGTGATCTGCCCACATTGGCCTTCCAAATTGCTGGGATGACTGGCATGCACCACTGTCCCCAGCCTGTTTTCATTTTATTAATTGGCTGATTCATTCAGACACATAATTATCAAGTCAAATCTCACTCTTTCCTTAGCATTTCCTTCAGTTTAGCTTAGAAAATCTATTCCTATTTTAAAACATATACGATTTTTCGAGTGTGGTGGCACATGAGTGTAATCCCAGCTACTCGGGAGGCTGAGGCAGGAGTATCACTTGAACCCGGGAGTGATATAGTGATTACATATAGTATATAACTATATATTGATTGCAGTTTATAATTTTAACTATATCATGTCTCCTGCCTCATAAGTACCACTGGACAAGGTCCCTTTTATGAACTCAGCTTCTGTCAGAGGTAAATGTATTTTGAAGTGGAGAACAAAGATAAGTGCAAAATTGGCCTGGAGAATGAAGGTAATTATGAAAGTTCCAGATACAAAGAGAGAGGGCTCAATATGCCAGCAGTTCTCTGCCAATCCATCCTAGAGTTCTTCTTTTAGGATTGCCTAAATAAGGCAGGAGATGGGTGCAAGACACACAAGTGTTCCAGAAGCATGTAAACAAGGTACAGAGAAGAGGATAAGATAAAATAAGATGAGATAAGAATATCAGGAATGCCTTGTTCAGAAGATTGCCTACAGAGGCAAAAGGGACAGTCTCATTTTGCTGAGGGAAACAGGGTGGTAAGAACCCTCCTGGGGAAGACCCCCACTTACCCTGATACAGAAAGAAGGTGTAAAATATCGTAATGGGAGAGCATTAGGCTGAGATAGCTCCCATGGTCTGGGTTCCTACATAGACAAAATGAAACAAGCTTAGCCCACCAACAAGTGGCCCGCTGAGTATTAGCTGTGTAATGAGAGACCTACCACCAGGATAGTTCAAATAATGCAACTGCCCACATTTTTGCCAATCAGATAATTTCTCTACTCTACTTCTATATTCACCCTATAAAAGCCTTCCTTACAAACACCTCCAGTAGATCCTCCAGCCACTTTCAGTTTGGAACTGCCTGATCCATGAATCTCTGTTTGCTTAAATAAACTCTTTAAAATTTTAATATGCTTACGTTTATCTATTTTTTTCTCATTTTTAAAAATTGACATGGGATCTTCCTATGTTGTCCAGGCTGGTCTTAAACTCCTGAACTCAAGTGATCCTCCTGCCTCAGCCTCCTGAGTAGCTGGAATTATAGATGTGTGCCTCCACACTCAGCTTACATTTATCTTTAAACAAGGGATTGACCCCTTTCTAAAATATATTTCTGTGAAGACCTGTACCGTCAGTGATATGGCAGGCTCATTTCAGACCATCGAGCACTTTTGTCTCTGGACCACAATTTGCCCTTTGTGACCTGCTCTACTAAGAAATTCAAGTGTAATTCAAGTTAGTTTACCCTCTGCTGATCAGGGGAGATTGCTCTTGGTGCAAGTTCAAGACAGGCACTCACACCTTCATTCGTACCCCAAATCTCAGCATCACACAATACTCCCATGTAATAAACCTGCACAGGTACCCTCCGGAATCTAAAATGAAAGTTGAAATTCATTAAAATTTTAATTTCATCTTATTACAAAACAAAGATAAATTTACTTCTTTCCGATTTTGATATACATATTATACTGACATACACACTGTATTCTATGGTGAATTATACTGATTGAATTTCACACTTTAAACTAACACTGAGTGACTTTGAAAAACTCTATTGGGTCATAATGCATTATGTTTTTAATATATTTTAATACAATTTGCAAAAATTTTGTTTTAAAATTACATCTATGTTCCATAAATAAATAAATATGTAAAACAATAAATATTTGTATTATTCAAGTGAAGATTGTAGCAATATTTTTGAATATCTACTTAACCTCAACTAGTTTTAATTCAGAAGTAGCAACTCCATAGAAATTCAACTTATTACTACCTTATTACTCATACTTGTCTCCTTGAAGAAGCTTCATTGCTATCATACAGTTTAGAATGCGATGTCATATATCTCTAGACTGAGTAGTATAATATTCACTGTTCAAATAAAATCAAATTACTATTATAATGTTATGACACCTCCAAATACAAGAAGCAAGCCCATGGATGTCAGATTAATGTATAGAGACAAATATTCCTACTTACTATCTTTTAGGGCAAACATATCCCAGCCAAGCTGATTTCAAAATGAAATGGAAACCATATGGTGGAAGGGGACTTGGGAATCACATAGATTGGATTTTCATTCCAACCCTTACATACACGAGCTGCATGACTCTGGGTAGATTGCATATTCTCTTAGAGTTTCAATATCCTCATCTGTGCAATATTTGGAGCGCATTGATGCCTACGATGGAAAAGGAAATATCATAACATAAAAACTAGACAGAAGCATTCCAATAAACTTCTTCATGATGTGTGCATTCAACACACAGAGTTGAAACTTTCTTTTGATAGTGCAGTTTTGAAACACTCTTTTTGTAGAATCTGCAAGTTGACATTTGGTGCAAATTGAGGCATATAAGGAAATGGAAATATCTTCACATAAAAACTAGACAGAAGCATTCTCAGAAACATCTTTGTGATGTGTGCATTCAATTCACAGAGTTGAACCTTTCTTTTGATAGAGCAGTTTTGAAACACTCTTGTTGTAGAAACTGCAAGTGGATATTTGGAGAGCTTTGAGGCCTATGGTGGAAAAGGAAATATCGTCACATAAAAACAAGACAGAAACATTCTCAGAAACATCTTTGTGATGTGTGCGTTCAATTCACAGAGAAGAACCTCTCTTCTGATAGAGCAGTGTTAAAACATTCTTGTTGTAGATTCTGCATTTGGATATTTGGAGCCCTTTGAGGACAATGATGGAAAAGGCAATAACTTCACAAAAAAACAAGAGATAAGGATTCTCAGAAACATCTTTGTGATGAGTGCATTCAACTCACAGAGTTGAACCTTTCTTTTGATAGAGCAGTTTTGAAACACTCTTTTTGTAGAATCTGTAAGTGGATATTTGGAGTGCATTGAAGCTTACGGTGGAAAAGGAAATATCATAACATAGAAATTAGACAGAAGGATTCTAAGAAACTACTTTGTGATGTGTGCATTCAACTCACAGAGTTGAACCTTTCCTTTAATAGTGCAGTTTTGAAACACTAATTTTGTAGAATCTGCAAGGTGATATTTAGTGCAAATTGAGAATATATAAAGAAATGGAAATATCTTCACATAAAAAATAGACAGAAGCATTCTCATAAACTTCTTTCTGATGTGTGCATTCAACTCCCAGAGTTGATCCTTTCTTTTTATAGAGCAGTTTAGAAACACTCTTTTAGTAGAATTTGCAAGTGGATATTTGGAGCGCTATGAGGCTGATGCTGGGAAAGGAAATATCTTCACATAAAAACTAGACACCAGCATTCTCAGAAACGCCTTTGTGATGTGTGCATTCAACTCACAGAGTTCAAATTTTCTTTTGATAGAGCAGTTTTGAAACACTCTTGTTGTACATTCTGCATATGGATATTTGGAGCCCTTTGAGGCCTATGGTGGAAAAGGAAATATCTTCACATAAAAAGCAGAGACAAGAATTCTCAGAAACTTCTTTGTGATTTGTGCATTCAACTCAAAGAGTTGAACATTTCTTTTGACAGAGCAGTTTTGAAACACTTTTTTTGCAGAATCTGCAAGTGGATACTTGGAGCTCCTTGAGGCCAACGGTGGAAAAGGAAATATCTTCACATAAAAACTAGACAGAAGCATTCTCAGAAACCTCTTTGTGATGTGTGCATTCAACTCACAGAGTTGAACCTTTTTTTTGAAAGAGCAGTTTTGAAACACACTTTTTGTAGCATCTGCAAGTTGATATTTGGTGCCCAATGAGGCATATAAGGAAATGGAAATATCTTCACATAAAACTACACAGAAGCAATCTCAGAAACTACTTCATGATGCGTGCATTCAGGTCCCAGAGTTGAACCTTTCTTTTTATAGACCAGTTTTGAAATAGTCTTTCTGAAGAATCCACAAGTGGATATTTGGAGTGATTTGAGGCCTATGCTGGAAAAGGAAATATCTTCAAATAAAAAGTAGACAGAAGCATTCTCAGAAATTTCTTTGAGATGTGTGCATTCAACTGACAGAGTAGAACATTTCTTTTGATAGAGCAGTTTTGAAACACTCTTTTTGCAAAATCTGCAACTGGATATTTGCAGCCCATAGTGGCCTAAGGTGGAAAAGGAAATATTTTCACATGAAAACTAGACAGAAGAATTCTCAGAAACTTCTTTGTGACGGGTGCATTCAACTAACAGAGTTGAACATTTCCTTTGATAGAGCAGTTTTGAAACACTCCTTTTGTAGAATCTGCTTGTGGATATTTGGAGCTCTTTGAGGAATTCATTGGAAACGGGATATCTTCAGATAAAAACTAGACAGAAGCATTCTCAGAAACAGCTTTGTGATGTGTGCATTCAACTCACAGAGCAGAATCTTTCTTTTGGAAGAGCAGTTTTGAAACACTCTTTTTGTAGAATCTGCAAGTGTTCATTTGGAGCACTTTGAGGCCTTCATTAAGAACGGGATAAACTTCTCATAAAAACTAGATAGAAGCATTAACAGAAATGGCTTTGTGATGTGTGCATTCAACTCGCAGAGTTGAACCTTTCTTTTGATAGAGCAGTTTTGAAGCATCCTTTTTGTAGAATCTGCAAGTGTTCATTTGGAGCAATTTGAGGCCTGTGGTGGAAAAGGGAATATCTCCTTATATAAACTAGACAGGAGCATTCTCAGAAACTTCTTTACCATGTGTGCATTCAACACACAGAGTTGAACCTTCCTTTTGACAGAGCAGTTTTGAAACAGTGCTTTTGTAGAATTTGCAAGTGCATAATTGGAACTATGTGAGGCCTGTGGTGGAAAAGGGTATATCTTCACATGAAAACTAGACAGAAGTATTCTCAGAAACTGCTTTGTGATGTGTATATTTAACTCAAAGAGTTGAACCTTTCTTTGGATAGAGCAGTTTTGAAACGCTCCTTTTGTAGAATCTGCTAGTTGATATTTGGAACTCCTTGAGACCTTTGTTGGAAACGGGTATATCTTCACATAAAAACTAGACAGAAGCATTCTCAGAAAGTTCTTTCTGATGTGGGCATTCAACTCACAGAGTTGAACCTTTCTTTTGATAGAGCAGTTTTGAAACAGTCTTTTATAGAATCTGCAAGTGTTCATTTGGAACGCTTTGAGACCTATGGTGAAAAGGAAATATCTTCACATAAATAGTAGACAGAGGCATTCTCAGAAACTTCTTTGTGTTGTTTGCATTCAACTAACAGAGTCAAAGCTTTCTTTTGATAGAGCAGTTTTGAAACACTCTCTTTGTAGTATCTGTAAGTGTTCATTTGGAGCGCTTTGAGGTCTTCATTGGAAACGGGAATAACTTCTCATAAAAACTAGACAGAAGCATTCTCAGAAACTGCATTGTGATGCGTGCATTCAATTCACAGAGTTGAACCTTCCTTTTGAAAGAGCTGTTTTGAAACAGTGATATTGTGGATTCTTCAAGTGGATATTTGGTGCAATTTGAAGCGTATGGTGGAAAGGGAATACCTTAACATGAAAACTAGACAGAATCATTCTCAGAACCTTCTTTGTCATGTGTGCATTCAACTCACAGAGTTGAACCTCTCTTGTGATAGAGCAGTTTTGAAACACCCCTTTTATAGGATCTGCAATTCTTCATTTTGAGTGCTTTGAGGCCTATGGTGGAAAAGGGAATATCTTCACATAAAAACTAGACAGAAGCATTCTCAGAAACTTCCCTGTGATGTGTGCATTCAACTAATAGAGTTGCACATTTCTTTTGATGGAGCAGTTTTGAAACACTCCTTTTGTAGGATCTGCTACTGGGTATTTGGAGATGTTTGAGGCCTTCGTTTGAAACGGGACTATCTTCACATAAAAACTAGACAGAAGCATTCTCAGAAAGTTCTTTGTGATGTGTGCATTCAACTCACAGAGCTGAACCTTTCTTTGGATAGAGCAGTTTTGAAGCATCCTTTTGTAGAATCTGCAAGTGTTCATTTGGAGCGATTTGAGGCCTGTGGTGGAAAAGGGAATATCTCCTCATATAAACTAGACAGAAGCATTCTCAGGAACTTCTTTGCCGTGTGTGCATTCAACACACAGAGTTGAACTTTTCTTTTGACAGAGCAGTTTTGAAACAGTGTTTTTGTAGTACCTGCAAGTGCATAATTGGAGCGATTTGAGGCCTGTGGTGGAAAAGCGTATATCTTTACATGAAAACTAGACAGAAGTATTCTCAGAAACTGCTTTGTGATGTGTACATTTAACTCAAAGAGTTGAACCTTTCTTTTGATAGAGCAGTCTTAAAACACTCCTTTTGTAGAATCTGCTAGTGGATATTTGGAGCTCTTTGAGACCTTTGTTGGAAACGGGTATATCTTCACATAAAAACTAGACAGAAGTATTCTCAGAAAGTTTTTTCTGATGTGGGCATTCAACTCACAGAGTTGAACCTTTCTTTTGATAGAGCAGTTTTGAAACAGTCTTTTTGTAGAATCTGCAATGTTCAATTGGAGTGCATTGAGGCCTTTGGTGGAAACGGAAATATCATCACATAATAACTAGACAGAAGCATTCTCAGGAACTTCTTTTAGATGTGTGCATTTAACTAACAGAGTTGAAACTTTCTTTTTATAGAGCAGTTTTGACACACTCCTATTGTAGAATCTGCTTGTGGATATTTGGAACTCCTTGAGGAACTCGTTGGAAAAGGTTTATCTTCACATAAAAATTACACGGAAGCATTCTCAGAAACATCTTTGTGATGTGTGCATTCAACTCACAGAGCTGAACCTTTCTTTTTAGAGAGCAGTTTTGAAACAGTCTCTTTTAGAATCTTCAAGTGGATATTTGGAGCGATTTGAGGCCTATGGTGGAAAAGGAAATACCTTCACATAAAAACTTGACAGAAGCATTCTCAGGAACTTCTTTGAGATGTGTATTCAGCTAACAGAGTTGAACCTTTATTGTGATAGAGCAGTTTTGAAATACTCCTTTTTTAGAATCTGCTATTGGATATTTGGAGATTTTTGAGGCCTTCATTGGAAATGTAAATATCTTCACCTAAAAACTAGACAGAAGCGTTCCCGGAAATTTCTTTGTGATGTGTGCATTCAACTCACAGAGTTGACACTTTCTTTTGATAGTGGAGTTTTTAAACCATCTTCCTGTAGAATCTGCAAGTGTTCATTTGGAGCGCTTTATGGCCTATGGTGGAAAATGAAATGTCTTTACCGAAAAAACAGACAGAAGCATTCTCAGAAACTGCTTTGTCTTGTGTCCATTCAACTCACAGAGTTGAACCTTTCTTTTGATAGAGCAGTTTTGAAACACTCCTTTTGTAGAATCTGCTTGTGGATATTTGGAGTTCTTTGAAGAATTTGTTGGAATCGGGATATCTTCACATAAAATCTAGACAGAAGCATTCTCAGAAACTTCTTTGTGATGTAAGCATTCAAGTCACAGAGTTGAACCTTTCTTTTGATAGAGCAGTTTTGAAACACTCTTTTTGTAGAATACGCAAGTGTTCATTTGGAGGGCTTTGAGGCCTACATTGGAAAAGAAATATCTTCACATAAAAACTAGACAGAAGCTTTCCCAGAAACTTCTCTGTGATGTGTGCATTCAACTGACAGAGTTGAACCTTTCTTTTGCTGGTGGAGTTTTGAAACAGTCTTTTTGTAGAATCTGCAAGTGTTCATTTGTAACATTTTGAGGCCGTCCTTAAAAAAGGGATTATCATCTCATAAGAACTAGACAGAAGAATTCACAGAAATGGCTTTGTGTTGTGTGCATTCAACTCACAGAGTTAAACCTTTCTTTTCATAGAGCAGTTTTGAAACATCCTTTTTGTAGAATCTGCAGTGTTCATTTAGAGCGATTTGCGGCCTGTGGTGGAAAAGGGAATAACTCCTCATAAAAACTTGACAGAAGCATTCTCAGAAACTTTTTTTGCCATGTGTGCATTCAACACACAGAATCGAACCTTCCTTCTGACAGAGCAGTTTTGAAACAGTGTTTTTGTAGAACCTGCAGCTGCATAATTGGAGCGATTTGAGGCCTATGGTGCAATAGGGTATATCTTCACATGAAAACTAGACAGAAGTATCCTCAGAAACAGCTTTCTGATGTGTACATTTAACTCAAAGAGTTAAACATTTCTTTTAATAGAGCAGTTTCCAAACCCTCCTTTTGTAGAATCTGCTAGTGGATATTTGGAGCTCTTTGAGACCTTCGTTGGAAACGGGTATATCTTCACATAAACCTAGACAGAAGCATTCTCAGAAAGTTCTCTGTGATGTGGGCATTCAACTCACAGAGTTGAACCTTCCTTTTGATAGAGCAGTTTTGAAACAGTCTTTTTGTAGAATGTGTAAGTGTTCATTTGGAAGGCTTTGAGACCTATGGTCAAAAGGAAATATCTTCATATAAATAGTAGACAAAAGCATTCTCAGAAACTTCTGTGTGTCGTGTGCATTCAACTAACAGAGTTGAAGCTTTCTTTTGATAGAGCAGTTTTGAAAAACCCCTTTTATAGGATCTGAAAGTCTTCATTTTGAGCGCTTTGAGGCCTATGGTGGAAAAGGAAATATCTTCACATAAAAACTAGACAGAGCATTCTCAGAAACTTCTTTGTGTCGTGTGCATTCAACTAACAGAGTTGAAGCTTTCTTTTGTTAGAGTAGTTTTGAAACACTCTTTTTGTAGAATCTGCAAGTGTTCATTTGGAGCGCTTTGAGGTCTTCATTGGAAATGGGAATAACTTCTCATAAAAACTAGATAAAAGCATTCTTAGAAACTTCATTGTGATGTGTGCATTCAATTCACAGAGTTGAACCTTCCTTTTGACAAAGCTGTTTTGAAACAGTGTTTTTGTATAATCTGCAAGTGGATATTTGGAGCCATTTGAAGCCTATGGTGGAAAACGGAATGCCTTCACATAAAACCTAGACAGAGGTATTCTCAGGAACTTCTTTGAGATGTGTGCATTCAACTCACAGAGTTGAACCTTTCTTTTGGAAGAGCATTTTGAAACACTCTTTTTGTAGATTCTGCAAGTGTTCATTTTGAGCGCTTTCAGGCCTATGGTGGAAAAGGAATTATCTTCACATGAAAACTAGACAGAAGCATTCTCAGGAACTTCTTTGAGATGTGTGCACTCAACTAACAGTTGAAACATACTTTTGATAGAGCAGTTTTGACACACCCTATTTGTATAATCTGCAAGTGGATATTTGGAGCGATTTGAAGCCTATGGTGGAAAAGGGAATGCCTTAACATAGAACCTAGACAGAAGCATTCTCAGGAGCTTCTTCAAGATGTGTGCATTCAACTCACAGAGTTGAAACTTTCTTTTGATGGAGCAGTTTTAAACACTCCTTTTGTAGAATCTACTACTGGATATTTGGAGATGTTTGAGGCCTTCTTTGGAAACGGGAATATCTTCACATAAAAACTAGACAGAAGCATTCTCAGAAAGTTCTTTGTGATGTGTGCATTCAACTCACAGAGCTGAACCTTCCTTTGGATAGAGCAGTTTTGAAACAGTCTTTTTGTAGAATCTGCAAGTGTTCATTCGGAGTGCTTTGAAGACTGTGGTGGAAAAGGACATATCGTCACATAAAAACTAGACAGAAGCATTCTCAGAAACTTCTCTGTGATGTCAGCATTCAACTCACAGAGCTGAAACTTTCTTTTCAAAGAGCAGTTTTGATAATCTCTTTTTGCAGAATCTGCCAGTGGATATTTGGAGCGCTTTGAGGCCTATGGTGGAAAAGGAATTATCTTCACATAAAGACTAGACAGAACCACTCTCAGAAACTTCTTTCTGATGTGTGCATTCACAGCAGAGTTGAACCTTTCTTTTGATAGGGCAGTTTTGAAACAGTCTTTTTGTAGAATCTGCAATGTTCAATTGGAGCGCTTTGAGGCCTATGTTGGAAACGGAAATATCTTCACGTAAAAACTTGACAGAAGCATTCTCAGGAACTTCTTTGAGATGTGTGCATTCAACTAACAGAGTTGAAACTTTCTTTCGATAGAGCAGATTTGACAAACTCCTTTTGTAGAATCCACTTGTGTATATTGGGAACTCCTTCAGGAAGTCATTGGAAACGGGATATCTTCACATAAAAATTACATGGAAGCATTTTCAGAAAGTTCTTTCTGATGTGTGCATTCAACTCACAGAGCTGAACCTTTCTTTTTAGAGAGCAGTTTTGAATCAGTCTTTTTTAGAATCTGCAAGTGGATATTTGGAGCGATTTGAGGCCTATAGTGGAAAAGGAAATACCATCACATAAAACCTTGACAGAAGCATTCTCAGGAACTTTTTTGAGATGTGTGCATTCAACTAACCGAATTGAACCTTTATTATTATAGAGTCGTTTTGAAATACTCCTTTTTTAGAATCTGCTATTGGATATTTGGAGATTTTTGGGGCCTTAGTTGGAAATGGAAATATCTTCACCTAAAAACTAGACAGAAGCATTCTCGGAAAGTTCTTTGTGATGTGCGCATTCAACTCGCAGAGTTGACCCTTTCTTTTGATCGTGGAGTTTTTAAACAGTCCTTTTGTAGAATCTGCAAGCGTTCATTTGGAGTGCTGTATGGCCTATGGTGGAAAATGAAATATCTTCACCTAAAAACCAGACAGAAGCATTCTCAGAAACTTCTCTGTGATGTGTGCATTCAACTCACAGAGTTGAACCTTTCTTTTGATAGAGCAGATTTTGAACAGCCTTTTTGTAGAATCTGCAAGTGTTCATTTGGAGAGACTTGAGGCCTATGGTGGAAAAAAGAATATCTTCTCATAAAAACTAGACAGAAGCATTCTCAGAAACTTCTTTGCCATGTGTGCATTTAACTCACAGATTTGAACCGTCTCTTTGACAGAGTAGTTTTGAAACAGTGTTTTTCTAGACTCTGCAAGTGGACATTTTGAGCCATTTGAGGCCTAAGGTGGAAAACAAAATATCTTCACATGAAAACTAGACAGAAGCATTGTCAGAAAATTTTTGCTGTATGCATTCAACTCACAGAGTTTAAACTTTCTTTGATAAAGTAGTTTTGAAACACTCCTTCTGTACAATGTGCTTGTGGATATTTGAGCTGTTTGAGGAATTCGATGCAAACGTGATATCTTCACATAAAAATTAGACAGAAGCATTCTCAGAAACTGCTTTGTGATGTGTGCATTCAACTTACAGTGTTGAAACTTTCTTTTAAGAGTGCAGTTTTGAAACAGTCTTTTTGTAGTATCTGCAAGTGGGTTTTTAGAGACTTTTGAGGCCTTTTTGGAAAACCGGAATATCTTCAAATAAAAACTAGACAGAAGCATTCTCAGAAACTTCTTTGTGTCCTGTGCATTCAGCTTACTGAGTTGAAACTTTCTTTTGATAGAGCACTTTTGAAACACTCTTTTTGTAGAATCTGCAAGGTTCATTTGGAGCGCTTTGAGGTCTTCGTTGGAAACGGGAATAACTTCTCATAAAAAACTAGACAAAAGCATTCTCAGAAACTTCATTGTGATGTGTGCATTCAATTCACAGAGTTGAACCTTCCTTTTGACAGAGCTGTTTTGAAACAGTGTTTTTGTATAATCTGCAAGTGGATATTTGAAGCGATTTGAAGCCTATGGTGGACAAGGGAATGCCTTCACATAAAACCTAGACAGAAGCATTCTCAGAAACTACTTTGCCATGTGTGCATTTTACTCACAGAGTTGAACTTTGCTTTTGTCAGGGCAGTTTTGATACAGTGTTTTTATCGAATCTGCAAGTGCATATTTGGAGCGATTTGAGGCCTATTGTGGAAAAGGGAATATTTTGGCATGAAAACTAGAGAGAAGCATTCTCAGAAACTTCTTTGTGATGTGTGCATTCAACCCACAGAGTTGCACCTTTCTTTTGATACAGCAGATTTGAAACACTCCTTTTGTACAATCTGCTAGTGGATATTTGGAGATGTTTGAGGCCTTCGTTGGAAATGGATATATCTTCTCATAAAAACTAGACAGAGGCATTCTCAGGAACTTCTTTGAGATGTGTGTATTCAACTCACAGAGTTGAATCTGTCTTTTGATAGAGCAGTATTGAAACACTCCTTTTGTAGAATCTTCTTGTGGATATTTGGAACTCTTTGAGGAATTCTTTGGGAACGGGAATCTTCACATAAAATCTAGACAGAAGCATTCTCAGAAACTTCTTTGTGATGTGTGCATTCAACTCACAGGCTTGAGCCTTTCTTTTGATAGACCAGTTTTGAAACAGTCTTTTGTAGAATCTGCAAGTGTTCTTTTGGATCGATTAGAGGCCTGTGGTGGGAAAGGGAATATCTTCTAATAAAAACAAGACAGAGGTATTCTCAGAAACTTCTTTGCCATGTGTGCATTCAACTCACAGAGGTGAACCTTTTTTCAGAGCAGTTTTGAAACGGTGTTATTGTAGAATCTGCAAGTAGATATTTGGAGCAATGTGAGGCCTATTCTGGGAAAGGAAATATCTTCACATAAAAACTAGACAGAAGCATTCTCTGGAACTTCTTTATGATGTGTGAATTCATGTAACAGAGATGAACCTTTCTTTTGATAGAGCATATTGGAAACACTCCTTTTGTAGAATCTCCTAGTGGATATTTGGAGATTTTTGAGGACTTCGTTGGAAACGGGAATATCTTCACATAGAAACTACACAGAAGCATTCTCAGGAACTTTTTTGAGATGTATACATTCAACTCACAGATTTGAACCTTCGTTTTTATAGAGCAGTTTTGAAACACTCCTTTTGTAGAATCTGCTTGTGGATATTTAGAGCTCTTTGAGTAATTCGTTGGAAACAGGATATCTTCAAATAAAACTAGACAGAAGCATTCTCAGAAAGTTATTTGTGGTGTGTGCATTCAACTCACAGAGTTGAACATTTCTTTTGATAGAGCAGTTTTGAAACAGTCTTTTTGCAGAATCTGAAGTGTTCATTCGGAGCACTTTGAGGCCTTTGGTGGAAAAGGAAATATTATCACATAAATACTAGACAGAAGCATCCTCAGAAACTTCTTTGTGATGTGTGCATTCAACTCACAGAGATGAACCTTTCTTTTGATAGAGCAGTTTTGAAATAGTCTTTATGTAGAATCTGCAAGTTGATATTTGGAGCGATTTGAGGCCTATGGTGGAAAAGGGAATATCTTCTCATAAAAATTAGACAGAAGCATTCTCAGAAAATGCTTGGTGATGTGTACATTCAACTAACGGATTTGAACCTTTCTTTTGATAGAGCAGTTTTGAAACACTCTTTTTGTGAAATATGCAAGTGTTCATTTGGAGCGCTTTGAGGTCTGTGGTGGAAAAAGAAATATCTTCAATATCTTCACATAAAAACTAGACAGAGGCAGTATCAGAAACTGCTTTGTCTTATATGCATTCAACTCACAGTGTTGAACATTTCTTTTGATAGAACAGTTTTGAAACACTCCTTTATTGGATCAGCAAGTGTTCGTTTTGAGCTCAGTGAGGCCCATGGTGGAAAAGGAAATATCTTCACACAAAAACTACAAAGAACCATTCTCGGAGAATACTTTGCAATGTGTGCATTCAACTCACAGAGTTGAACCTTTCTTTTGATAGAGCATGTTTGAAACATTCCTTTTGTAGAATCTGTTATTGGATATTTGGAAATATTTGAGGACTTCGTTGGAAACGGGTATATCTTCATATAAAAACTAGAGGCAAGCATTCTCAGGAACTTCTTTGTGATGTGTGCATTCAAATCACAGAGTTGAACATTTCTTTTGATAGAGCAGTTTTGAAACACTCCTTTTGTAGCATCTGCTTTTGAATATTTGGAGGTCTTTGAGGAATTCCTTGGAAACTGTATATCTTCACATAAAACTTGACAGAAGAATTCTCAGAAAGTTCTTTGTGATGTGTGCATCCAACACACAGACTTGAACGTTTATTTTGATAGAGCACTTTTTAAACAGTCTTTTAGTAGAATATGAAAGTGTTCACTTGGAGTGATTTGAGTCCTATGGTGGAAAAGGGAATATCTTCTAATAATAACAAGACAGAAGCATTCTCAGAAACTTCTTTGCCATGTGTGCATTCAACTCACAGAGTTGAATCTTACTTTTGACAGAGCAGTTTTGAAGCAGTGTTTTTGTAGAATCTGCAAGTGGATAATTGGAGTGATATGAGGTCTAAGGTAGAAAAAGAAATATCTTCACATAAAAACTAGACAGAAGCATTCTCTAGAACTTCTTTGTGATGTGTGCATTCATGTAATAGAGATTAATCTTTTGATAGAGCAGACTTGAAACACTCTTTTTGTAGAATCTGCTAGTGGATATTTGGAGATTTTTGAGGCCTTCATTGGAAACGGGAATATCTTCACATAAAAACTAGACAGAAGCATTCTCAGGAACTTTTTTGATATGTGTGCATTGAACTCACAGAGTTGAACATTTCTTTTGATAGAGCAGTTTTGAAGCACTCCTTTTGTAGAATCCACTAGTGGATATATAGAGCTGTTTGAGTAATTCGTTGGAAACGGGATATCTTCACATAAAAACTTGACAGAAACATTCTCAGAAAGTTCTTTGTGATGTGTGAATTAAACTCACAGAGTTGAACATTTCTTTTGATAGAGCAGTTTTGAAACAGTATTTTTGTAGAAACTGCAAGTGTTCATTCAGAGAGCTTTGAGGCCTATGGTGGAAAAGGACATAACTTAACACAAATAGTAGACAGAAGCATCCTCAGAAACTTCTTTGTGATGAGTGCATTCAACTTACAGAGTTGAACCTTTCTTTTGATAGAGCAGTTTTGAAATACTCTTTTTGTAGAATCTGCAAGTGTTCCTTTGGAGCGCTTTGAGGTCTATGGTGGAAAAAGAAATATCTTAAATAACTTGACATAAAAACTAGACAGAAGCCTTCTCAGAAACTTCTTTGTGATGTGTGCATTCAACTCACAGAGGTGAACCTACCTTTTGAGAGAGCAGTTTTGAAACAGTCTTTTTGTAGAATCTGCAACTGGATATTTGTAATGATTAGAGGCCTATGGTGGAAAAGGAAATATCTTCCCATAAAAACTAGACAGAAGCATTATCAGGAATTTCTTTGAGATGCGTGCATTCATCCAACAGAGTTGAACCTTTCTTTTGATAAAGCAATTTTGAAACACTCCTTTTGTAGAATCTGCTTGTGGATATTTGGAGATTTTTGAGGCCTTCATTGGAAACGGGGATATCTTCACATAAAACGAGACAGAAGCATTCTCAGAAACATCTTTGTGATGCGTGTATTCAACTCACAGAGTTGAACTTTTCTTCTGATAGAGCAGTTTTAAAACACTCCTTTTGTAGAATCTAATTGTGGATATTTGGAGCTCATTGAGAAATTCGTTGGAAACGGGATAACTTCACATAAAAACTTGACAGAAGCATTCTCAGAAACTCCTTTGTGATGTGTGCATTCAACGCAAAGAGTTGAACCTTTCTTTTGATAGAGCAGATTTGAAACACTCTTTTTGTATAATATGCAAATGTTCATTTTGAGCGCTTTGAGGCCTGTGGTGGAAAAGGAAATATCTTCACATAAAACTAGACTGAAGCATTCTCCAGAACTTCTTTGAGATGTGTGCATTCAACTAAGAGAGTTGAATCTTTCTTTTGATAGAGCAGTTTTGAAACAGTCTTTTTGTAGAATCTGCAAGTGTTCATTTGGAGTACTTTGAGGCCTATGGTGGAAAGGGAAATATATTCACATAAAAACTAGACAGAAGCATTCTCAGAAAGTTATTTGTGATGTGTGCATTCAACTCACAGAATTGAACCTTTCCTTTGATAGAGCAGTTTATAAAGTCTTTTTGTAGAATCTGTAAGTGTTCATATGGAGTGATTTGAGGCCTATGTTGGAAAAGGGAATATGTTCTTATAAAAATTAGACAGAAGCATTCTCAGAAACTTCTTTGCCAGTGTGCATTCAACTCACAGTTTTGAAACTTCCTTTTGACAGAGCAGTTTTTAGAAAGTGTTTTTGTAAAATCTGCAAGTGGATATTTTTAGCGTTTTGAGTCCTAAGGTGGAAAAGGGAATATCTTCACATGAAAACTAGACAGAAGCATTCTCGTTAACTACTTTGTGTTGTGTGCATTCATCTCACAGAGTTGAACCTTTCTTTTGATAGAGCAGTTTTGAAACACTCTTTTTTTACAATCTGCTTGTGGATATTTGGGGCTCTTTGAGGAATTCGTTGGAAACGAGATATCTTCACATACTTGACAGAAGCATTCTCAGAAACTGCTTTGTGATGTGTGGATTCAAATCACAGAGTTGAACCTTCCCTTATAAAGAGCAGTTTTGAAACACTCTATTTGTAGAATCGGCAAATGTTCATTTGGAGCACTTTGAGGCCTATGCTGGAAATGGAAATATCTTCACATAAAAACTAGACAGAAGCCCTCTCAGAAAATTCTTTGTCATGTGTGCATTCAACTCACAGAGTTGAACCTTCCTTTTGGGAGAACAGTTTTGAAACAGTCTTTTTGTAGAATTTGCAAATGGATATTTGGAGCAGTTTAAGGACTAAGGTGAAAAAGGAAATATATTCAAATAAAAACTAGACTGAAGCATTCTCAGAAAATACTTTGTGATGTATTCATTCAACTCACAGAGTTGACCCTTTCTTTTGATAGAGCAGCTTTGAAACACTCTTTTTGAAGAATCTGCAAGTGGATATTTGGAGTGCTTTGTGGCCTATGGTGGAAAAGGAAATATCTTCACATAAAAACTAGACAGAAGCATTGTCCGAAACTTCTTCATGATGTGTGCATTCAACTCACAGAGTTGAACATTTCTTTTTGTAGAATCTGCAAGTGGATATTAGGAGGGCTTTGAGGCCTATGGTGGAAAAGGAAATAAATTCCCATGAAAAGTAGACAGAAACATTCTCAGAAACTTCTTTGTGATGTGTGAATTTAGCTCACAGTGTTGAACCATTCTTTTGATATATTAGTTTTGAAACACTCCTTTTGTAGAATCTGCAACTGGATATTTAGAGTGCTTTGATGCCTATTTTGGCAAAGGAAATATCCTCACATAAAAACTTGACAGAAGCACTCTCAGAAACTTCTTTGTGATGTGTTCATTCCCCTCACAGAGTTGAACATTTCTTTTCATAGAGCAGTTTTGAAACACTCCTTTTGAAGGAACTGTTACTGGATAATTGGAGTGATTTGAGGCCTATGGTGGTAAAGGAAATATCTTCACAAAAAAACTAGACAGTAACATTCTCAGAAACTTCTTTGTGATGTGTGCATTCAACTAACAGAGATGAACTTTCTTTAGATAGAGCAGCTTTGAAACACTCTTTTTGTAGAATCCGCAAGTGGATATTTAGAGCGCTTTGAGGCCTAAGGTGAAAAAAGAAATATCTTCACATAAAAACTAGACAGAAGCATTCTCAGAAATAACTTTGTGATGTGTGCATTCAACTAATAGTGTTGAACCTTTCTTTTGATAGAGCAGTTTTGAAACACTCTTTTTGTAGAATCTGAAAGTGTATATTTGGAGTTCTATGAGGCCTATGGTGGAAAAGGAAATATATTCGCATAACAACTAGACAGAAGCATTATCAGAAACTTCTTTGTGATGTGTGCATTCAACTCACAGAGCTGAACCTTTACTTTTGATTGAGCAGTTTTGAAAAACTCTTTTTGTAGGATCTGAAAGTGGACATTTAGAGTGCTTTGAAGCCTATGGTGGAAAATGAAATATCTTCACATAAAAACTAGACAGAAACATTC